>NC_000016.10:34339329-34521510 GCF_000001405.40 Homo sapiens | reverse complement strand
TAGTAAGAGTTAAATTTCCTTTTTAAAAAAATCACTGATATGATTCCATTTCGCCATAGATAAAAGCTAGTATTTCAGCCTACCATCGAGTGTGCTTATAGCTCACCAAAAGGGCACTCTGTCTCGGGAATACAGATTTGCCTAGAGGTATCCTAGTGCAGTCAAAGGAAGCGCAATGAGGGATAGAGAAGGTTAGTGATGGAGACACCAGCGCTGCATTTTGCAACCAACAATGTAAAAATTTTACGGTTTGGTTCTGCTAACTTACTACAGTTTACATTCCTCTCAGCTGGGAGAATTGTTGCTTTTTTTCTCAAGATAGAAAAGCAATTCAGATAATCTGAAATCTCCACAAGAAGGATAAGAAGCACAGCAGAAACTATTCTAGGCAGGAAGTCAATCCTTTCAACTGTCTGTGCTCCATAGAAACAATTGTCTGCACTGGGAGTCATATGAGGTACAGACAACAGCCAGTCCTCTGATCCTCTCATTAGTGATTTCAGAAGAAATTACCAGTCAACTGACTAATTCACTGAGTAAAGTAAACATTTGGCACTGAAAGAGGTTAGACGGATAACTATTTGTATCACCATATTCATGAAGCTGCAATATTTTCCATTACTGGTATCACTTACGAATGGAAGATGTTATAATGTCTCTCATCTTGTAAGATGGATATGAAAGAACATTTTCTGAGAAATGAAATTATTAACACACCTGCGAGGTGGATGGAAAAAAAAAGAATAATCAGCTTGAGTTCTTCTCCTTGATAAGATAACTCACTAAACACATAAAGAGAAAAATACAAGTTTAAAATAATTAACCAGAAGAAGACGACTCTAGAGTTTTTAAATTGCTGATAAGATTTTAATTTGCTCCAAGTTGAAAATAATTATATTGTTTGTGTTTTAAGGCACATAATGAACAATTATATCACACATGATGGTTTCAGCAGTAAAATATTATCTGTTAAAAGCTGGAACTCATAAAAGCATAGCACAATGTGAAGATGGAATTTGCTAAAATAAACCATCTGCTGAAAACTACTATTCTGCAAATTTAAAAATAAAGTTTAAATGTTATTTGTCTTATTTAATAGGTCTGTGAAAAAAATGCGCTCTTTGAAAAGTAGCTCCTACCTTAATTAATTCTTTTTTTATTACACTTTAATTTTTAGGGTACATGTGCACATTGTGCAGGTTAGTTACATATGTATGCATGTGCCATGCTGGTGCACTGCACCCACTAACTCGTCATCTAGCATTAGGTATATCTTCCAATGCTATCCCTCCCCCCACCCACCCCACCACAGTCCCCAGAGTGTGATATTCCCCTTCCTGTGTCCATGTGATCTCATTGTTCAATTCCCACCTGTGAGTGAGAATATGCGGTGTTTAATTTTTTGTTCTTGCGATAATTCACCGAGAATGATGATTTCCATTTTCATCCATGTCCCTACAAATGACATGAACTCATCATTTTTATGGCTGCATTGTATTCCATGGTGTGTATGTACCACATTTTCTTTTGACTATAGGTCTCAATCTTACTTCGGTTCCTGTATTTGAATTTTCGCTAATAAAGTTCTACAGCTAAAAAAGATTATATAAACTTATCTACATTTTTACTAGTATTCTGGTGTCATTTTAAATTATGTAATGAAATCACATTTTAATTTGGATTATTGTTATCTGAGTTAAGGATCTAAATTTTTAATTTTCTTATAAATATTACATAATTATTTCTGAACCATATATTGACTAATCTGCCCTTTATATGATGTGCATTATAAGAGCTTGGGATTGTTTCATTTGCAAAGATGAATGCTTGAGAAGTAGATATTTAATCATAACATTTCAAAATCTACTGGATAACCTAGAATTGAAAAATAGCCTATAGGTTGAAAAACTCCTGTAGTGAAGAAAGAAAATAACTAATATAGAGTGATAGTATAAATATTATAAGTATTTATTTCCTTATCGCCCTGAAATTTGATAATACAAACATGTAATATCTACATATCATCCATATATCAGGTCATAAATATTCAATACATTCTTCAAAAATTTAGCATAACAGAAAATACACTCTCTCTCCTTGATGGAATTAAGTTACAAATAAACGTAAAAATAAGTAGATAAGTAGATGGAAGTAGATGTTTAAAAACAAATAAAAGTATTTGTTTTGGATAACATACAATCTCAATGGACAATTCCAATATTTCCAGAACTTTGGTTGTCAACTGGTGGAGAGTTTTCCCCAGGAGACATTTGTCAATGTCTAGGGTTATTGTGGGCATGTCAAGACTGGTGGAGGTGTGAAATTTAGAGGTCAAACGAAACACCTAGCATTGCTAGGGCAGCCTCCCACAACAAAGAATCTTCTGGTCCTAAAGGTAAGTAGCACCTAGGTTGAGAAACCATAATCTAGACAGTAAACACTACATAGCTATTCCAAGTGCTCAGGAAAACACATCAGTGCCCTCGAGGGGAAAAGTGTAAACATTTTAGTTGCTGTACATGGTGACACAAATCCATGTTGTTAATGTAAGTGGAAGGGGCTGACGCACAAAACGTAATTCAAAGAGTTTACTTGAGCAAAAATGAGGACAGCTGCCTGGAAGAAACAGACCCAAGTATCCTTGGATATGAACTCCCTTTGGAGCTTTGCAACAAGCAGTTTCTTAAAGGCAAAAAAGGGTCCAGAAGTGGGATGATGCAAAGAGGTTTGTCACAAATTCTCATTGGCTTATGGAAATAACATTTATTAGTGACTGGCTATACACTGTTACACTATTATTGGGTGTGGATTATAGTGTCTGGTGTGGCGTTATTTGTCAATTTATAGCTACTGTGGCAACAGCAAGCAGCCTAGATGAACACACAGCTCAAAGCGGAGCAGGACAGAACTGCTGTCTCATTTGAATATCTCTCTGGGCCTGATTATTTAAAAGGACTTGCATTTCTCACATGAAAGTTATTTTCTTTTCTCAATGTCCATAAATGAGAATAAATAGACGTAAAATAGATCTTTTCAAGGATGAAGTAAATAGAAAGAAAAACAAAACCCAAGCTGACCAGAAATCATAGAGGGAAGAAAAGGTTATAAATATATGGATTTTTCAAAGTGATTTTAAGCTATTAGGAATCAGTTAAATGTTGGGGTATTTTGTCTGAGAATGGGCTAAAGGAGAATGTCCCTTTCGCCTTCTGAAGTTTCCCTGAAAATCACTAAGAGGAGGCAGGTAAATAGTAGAAAAGGCATGCAGGTTTCTGCAATGTGTGTACACCGGAGCCCTTAGAACGAAGACCCAGACACACGATGCGTGCAGAAGCTTATCTACCACATGAAGTTTACAGAAAGAATGGGGTCTTGGATCACAGGAAAAAAAAAAAAAAGGTTATGTGAGAAAACGACCCTGGCTAGCAACAGTGGACTTATTGCATAGGTGGAACCTCACTGGGAGCAGTCCTCAGAGAGAATAGACCGAAAAGGTTTCTTTCAGACCTTAGGAGACCTCAGACTCTCAGTTAAGCTTTCCTAGATCCAGACAAGGGGGCAGACCTCAGAGAAAGCCTGGCTGCATCAAGGCAGATTCTCTACCGATGCAAATCTCCCCAAGACAGCTTTGCAGCTAAGTTTGCATTTCCAGCCCTTCTCAATAGCCATTTTGAAATTTATCAAGGAAATATATTTAGGGGTAAAACATATTAGTTTCCTTCATACAGCTATAAAACATACAGGAATACTTTTTGTCAATGTCTACTACAAATCCAATATAACAGTAAATATAAAACCCAACAGATATTGAAGAAAAAATATGTAGAGTACATCAATTACAAATGTTGATACTAAAATGCCAAATAAAATAAAAATAATATCCAACAATGTTTGAAACAGTAAGACAAGAGATTGGCAAAAAAAAATAAAACAAATATCCACCTTGGGGATGAAAGTGTGTTTCCAAATTTGGTAATACAATAATATTAATAATCATATTGATTAGCCCAAATTAAAAATAAACAGGGGATTCTCAGTACATGCTAAAATATATTTGTTAGAAGACAATATTCATGTCTTTAAAGATTTTAAATGCTATAAAGAGTCTCATATTCTATGTGCAAACATGTGTATGTCCCTTAGAAGAAGAGAGACCTTATTTTAATATGTTACTACATAGAGATAAAGAAGTGCATAGATTAATTTGCATATGCATAGAGAAAGCATAAAATAGAAATTTACTATCATATTAAAGGAATTTTAATTCAACAATAAAATAATTCAATGTTAAAATAAATATTTTTAACAGGTACATTCTTAATATTAGATAATATTTATAATAATTGTGAAAATATTCAATGCTAAAATAAGACAAAATGTCTAAACGGCAGTATTAAAACTAGTATAAATATTTGCTTGTTTATACAAGGAAAATTCAAGCTCAAACTAAAATCATATAGGAAATAAAAGAAAAATTTATGGGAGCTCTTAATAACATAAACATATATATATACACACACACATATAACATGTATATATGTTATATGGGATAGATATAGATTTAACATGTAATATCTATATTTGTATCTATAACTGCAGCTGTATATATCTACATTTCTATATATTTACTCAGTGATATAAATATAGACTGGATTAAATGTAAAGACACATATGATTCTTGGATAAAAAGGATTCAGTGTCATAAAGACAAATTCTTTCCAAATTCACTTATGAATTCACAACAGTGTACAGTTTCATTAGTATAATTTAAAATTTTTAAATAAATTCCAAGATTCATTTAAAGGAATATACATGTATATAAGCAGTCAAGAAAGAAGCAAGAGTGCACTAAACTAACTTGCTATTAAAATACATTTTTAAACTTAGTATCTACAACTGAGCAGTACTGATTTGGAGTACTGGAATTTAGGTGTATGGGATCTCAAAAGCACAGAGCTCAAAGGAGACGCCGGTATGCACGAGAGCTTAGGATGTGCTTTAGAAGGCATTACCAAACCACGGGCAAAGTTACTTTAGTGTCTTAGTCTTACTAGGTTTGAAAAGCCAGAGAAAAGACACAAGACCACCATATAAGAGCAAAACAAAAGGACAGGGAGAGAATGTGAAGATAGTGAAACATTTTACATAAAGTTGTATAAAACATCCTTTAAGGAAAATGTAAAGTTTAGGATATACATCAAAATCAGCAGAGCCACTAAATAAATAAATAGGCACTGTAAAATAGCAAGAGAAAATTTAAGTGGATTTCTAAAAAATATTGACACCTATGATTTTTAAAATATGTTGAAGAAATCCCGTATTTCACAGGGCAGCCTTTCACAACACAGATATGTTAGGACATAAAGGTCCTTCAGTTTTTAATTTACTAGTGTGTATAGGGTTACAAATGTCTTCTACCCTTGTCTTTTGTCTGATGGTGCAAAAAAAATTTCATAAGCATGTATTTCTGAATGCCTGATGGATTGACATACAAAATATGCTGCTAGTATTAAAATATGTGACGGAAAACGCATCCAATCTTCTCACTGTTTACATAAATTCTAGGTTTGTCCTATTTACCTCAAGCACGTATGGAGCGAATTCTTACCTTTGAATATTGCCATGGCATTCACATTGAACATAAGTTGAACTCTCCCATATGGTAGCTGGGTTCACATTCCCTTGACAATTTCCAGTTCTAACCCTCACAGTTCCTCAGTGTGGCTGGCCCAGATATGGACCCTACACAGTTGCCTTCTCCGGGTGTCTACCAGCTATAGAACCATTGGATACAACCTACCTGACTCACCCCACAGACTTCACAGTGCACATGGACAGCCCCCACACGCCAGAGTGACCTGCTCAGTTGCAGCGGGAGTCAAGAAATGTGCCTGCTGGCACTCACCCCACAGACTAGTGCCCCGTGGAAAACTTATTTGGGTAATATTCTGGGCCCAATAAAGGCTGGAGTCCCACAGACCCCTTTTCTCTCTCCTGCTCCCCACTCATCTTCCCCATTTTGTTAAGCCCTATGAGGTGTGCTACTCTATTAGTCCATTTTCACACCACCGGTAAAGACATGCCCAAGACTGGGTAATTTCTAGAAGAAAGAGGTTTAATAGATGCACAGTTCCACATGGGTGGGTAGGCCTCACAATCATGGCACAAGGTGAAAGGCACGTCTCACATGGCAGCAGACAAGACAAGAGAGCTTGTGCAGGGAAACTCCCCTTTATAAAACCATCAGATCTTGTGAGACATATTCACTATTAGAAGAACAGCATGGGAAAGACCTGCCCCCATGATTCAATTACCTCCCACCTGTTCCCTCCCACAACATGTGGGAATTCAAGATGAGATTTGGCTGGGGACACAGCTAAACCCTCTTCTCAGCTACCCTCTTCTCTCTGGATCTGTGAGTAATAAACCTACTTCTGTGATTTCCCATGTTTGGTTCTGTGGCCTCCATGGGTCTGAGCTGACCTACACTGGAACCTAACTCTCCTCCTGGCCAGGGTCTCTGAGAGTGGCTCTTGTCAGAAATACACAGGACACAGGTCAGGCAACAGTCACCAGGCATCTCGTAGTCTCAACAAATGTTCTGTGAGAGGGAGACCTGGTCGTGGGATGCACACCTGGCCACTGCTGGGGTAAGGAAATGTCCTGTGAAAGGCACATGTTAAGCATCCACAACCCCCTGACCAGAAACCCAGAAAGGCAGGGCTCCAATTGACAGTCACTCTCCAGAGACAAACCTCTAGCCCTAAGTGGAGGAAAAGAAAACAATGTAAAAAGTTGAATTTGTCTTACTATTTAAATGATCCAGTAAAGACATTCTATGCCTGTACACCACATATTTTCTTCGATTGTGGATTTATTTTAGATAGAATTTTATGTCTGGTTTTCACTTCAGCCCGGTCCCTATCTCAAGCGTAAGGTAAAGATTTTCCATGGGTTCTTTCCGGGTACTACTACCTGCCAGTGTGGGGTCATGTCCTAGTCTATCTTGAGGGAACCCGCCTGTTCATTACTGTCAGAGTGATACTGTTAATTCTTGATTTCCCTGGACAACTTCACTGTATGACTTTTAATATGATTTTTTAATATACCCTTTACTGGACAATAAATTATATAGTTATCTGAGTAAGAGATATGGTCAGGAAGAGGCATTGCCTCATTCAGCTTTTCTCTTTGGTGAGCTCGCATATGTTCTCCTCACCCGCCAGTCACCTCTAAACCGTATTGTTCCAAGACAACAAACAGAACTCGATTGTGTATCTTTCACCACTGGATTTGTGTTTGCTCCATAAAGCTTCATGCTTAATAGGGTTTCTGTTAGCATTTTCTCTATTTATTTTCCCATAAAATATCACAGGCCTTCTTCATATGGAATTATGGTTGATTTCCTTCAATCTGCATCATATTAAGTTGAGGTTCATGTTGATGAAAAGTAAAACATACATTGAAAATATCAGTAATGATGTTTTCCCCTCCTTTTTAGCACCTGTGCTTGTGATACAAGCACATTTTAATACAATTGTAGTCTCATGCTTTGATCATTCCTATGAGGAAAGTAACATTTTTAGATAAAATATCTGAGTTTTATGAGGCCTTTAGTATGTGATGTGATAGAATATCAGAAGACCATACTTTTTTCTAGTTTTCCTTGCTATTCTATCATTGTTTCAGCTTTACTCCTATCAGAGTAATTTTCCAAAATAGATATCTTGTCATTCTTCCTGTTGTTATTAGTAAATAAGTGAAATGAAAAGCTAGATTATATAATTTATGGAGAACAAGAAAGTAGAATTGAATCTATATTCATTAATGAGACTGACCAGTCAATTACACAGATAGGCATTTTACATTTTGAAGATCGTATGGACCTATTTTCAGAAATATTATTATTTATGTCTATATGGACATCACCTGTGCATATTTACATAGAAATCAATGAGAGCTGATTTTTGTTTTTATTATATATATTTTTTTGAGATAGGGTCTTTCTTTGTTGCCCAGGCTAGAGTTCAGTGGTGCAATCACTGCTCACTGCAGCCTCAGCCTCCCAAGCTGAAGCAATCCTTCCACCTTGGCCTCCCAAATAGCTAGGACAACAGGTGCACATCACCATGCCCACATTTTTTTTTTAGCTTTTGACAGAGACTGGGTCTTGCTATGTTGCCCAGGTTGCTTTTGATCTCCTGGGCTCAAGGAATCCTCTCATTTCAGCCTCTTCAACTGCTGGTATTACAAGCATGAACCACCATATGTGCTGGAAGCTGATTTTTAAAATACCGAGATCATATAGATGACAGCACCTGAAAAATAGACAACACCAAGCTTTATGTTAAAAGGTGTGAGAGTATCAATATTGTTGTGGCTATTGGGGAGGAAACATTAGTAAAACCAGTAAGTTAAAGCTCTTGCTTTAAACTTTGTCTTTAATATAACAAATGTTCTATGGAGTGACAATATGCATGTAACCATGCTATGCCCATTCACAGATGCAGTAGAGGGAAGAATTTCTCAAAGACAACTGTTCTAAGACTCAAATTAAACCGTACTGGGTTTGAAAAGAGAAAGTCCAGGAATTACCAAATATTTTAGATATCAGATAAAAGAGAATGCCAGGTATGCGATGAAAATCAGCAATGGTTGTTCACACAATATATCAGATCAGTATTTGAATTAGCTTTTGAATTACAAGGACAAATGGATCAAGTCTAGACTCTTTAGTAGATAAGTCTTATTAGGCTGAGATGTGTTTTCCCCTGGTTTTCCACAAGGAGATTACAAATTTGCAAACCTCAGCTGCTCTCATGTTATGCTCTCACAAAGCCAAAAGCTGAAGTTCATCAATCAGTGTGTCTAAGTGTTCACTGGTTATATACCATTTTGTAGTTTCAGCTATCTTTCCAAATTCTTAAATCATCACCTTCATTTGATCTTGTTTTTTTCCACTCTCACTTCTTTATTGACCATATAAAGAATATAAGTAAGTTCTTATTTTGTTATTGTTCATTTTAGTCTAATTTCATCAAAAGATCACCATCTTTTTATTTCATTTTAATTTCAAAGATTAAATAAAACCTACATAGAAATGAGTGTAAGATTTGCATTTGCATTATTTTGGCATCAATTTGTTATCCTCCCTCATGCACATAGAGATCATTTCCATGTACGTGATTTCAAACATCTAAGTGCAGTATTAAAAGCAGTTGTAAATTACGGTTCTCATTTTCATGATACAATTACAATATAAACTTCCTCTTGCTGCTGTAACCAATTACCACAAACTTCATATCTTATAATAAAGTGACCGTTAATCCTACAGTTCTGTAGTTCAGAAGCCTTAAATGAAACTCACAGGGCTAACATCAAGTTTTGGGCAAGGCTGCAGTCTTTCTGAGGGCTATGTGGCAGAATTTATTACTTGATTTTTTTCAGCATCCAGAGGCCACCTTTATTCCTTGGAACATGACCTCATTCTTATACCTATTTTTCTTTTTTTTTTTTTGGTGATGGGGTCTCCTTCTGTCACCCAGGCTGGAGTGCATTGGCATGATCTCAGCTCACTGCAACCTCTGCCTCCTGGATTCAAGTGATTCTTCTGCCTCAGCTTCCTGAGTAGCTTGGAATACAGGCACTTGCCACCATGCCCAGTTAATTTTTTGTATTTTTAGTAGGGATGGGGTTTCACCATGTTAGCCAGGATGGTCTCGATCTCCTGACCTCGTGATAAACCCACCCCAGCCTCCCAAAGTGCTGGGATTAGGAGTGAGCCACCGCACTGGGCCCTCATTCTTGTATGTTAAAAGTCAGTGATGTTGAGTAATTTCTCATGCCACCACCTCCAAGGTTGCCTTTCTTCTGCCTTCTTCTTTCACTTATAAGGAAGTTTGTCATTTCATTGATCCCACCTATTGAAGACAATCTCTCTATCATTTTCCCGCAACCTTAATTTCACTTGAAATCTAATTTCACACTGCCATGCAACCTAACATATTTGTATGTTAGACTCTGGGAATTAGGACATGAAATTTTTTTGGAGGCCATTCTTTTGCCTACAGCAGATATAATCTATTTACCTGCAGATTAAAGCGTTCTTTATTTTTCTGTCTCCCTCTCTTAATTTTTTTAAAATAATATGAATTGTAATAAAGAGAAAGAAAGAAAAGAAAAGAAAGAAAAAGAAGGAAGGAAAGAAGGAAGGAAGGAAAGAAATAAAGAAAGAAGAAAGAAAAGAAGGAAGAAATGAGGGAAGAAGGGAGGGAGGGAGGAAAGGAGAAAGGCAGGAAGGGAGAAAAAAGAAAGCATGAACACAAGAAAGAAAGAAGGAAAGAAAGAAAGAAAGAATGAATGAAAGAAAGAGAAAGAAAGAAAGAAAGGAGGAAGGGAGGAAGGAAAGGAGGAAGAGAAAATGGTAAAAGGGAGGAAGTCAAAGAAACAAAGAAAATAAAGAGGCGAAGGAAGGAAGGAAAAGAGGAAAGGAAGAGAGGGAAGAAGGAGGAAAAGGAGGGCGGGAGGAAGGTAGAAAAAAGGAAAGAAAGCAAGAACGTTAGAAAGAAAGAATGAATATGAGAAAAGAAGGAAGAAAAGGGAGCGAGAAAGGAAGAGAGGCAGGAGGGAAGGTAGAAGAACAGGAAAGAAAGAAGGAAAGAAGGAAGGAAGGAGAAAAAAGAAAAAAGAAATAAAGGAAAAGAAAAAAGAAAAGAAAAGGAAGAGGAAAAGAAGAAAGGAAGGAAGAAGGCAAGGGAAGGGAAGAGAAGAGAAAGGAAGATGGAAACAAGGAAGGAAGAACGCAAATATTAGAAATTTTGGGTTTGTTAGACAATATGCCGTACTGTTTTTTTTTTTTTCACTTGAAAGGAAAGAGTATCTGCCATTGAAGATTGGATGTCTTGTTGGTGATATTGTTGTTCTTATCTTCCACATGGTTACTGAGTTTGTGCCTAGTCTTTCCATTACTAAGACAAAAGTGTTGAAGTCTGCAAATATAATTTTTGATTTTTGTAGTTCACCTTTGATTTCTTTCCTGTTTTACCTCATGTATTTGCAGGTTCTGTTGTTAACTGCATACCCTAATTAGTAGGATGTTTACATCTTCTTGAGAATTGATTATTCTATTATCTATTATCTCTCATCTCTGATAGTATTTCTTGTTCCGAACTCTGTTGTGTCTAATATCAATGTAGTCCTTCCACAGCCTTATTTTAGTGTTTCCATGATATGGCTTTCTCCATATCTTGATGATAACCTATTTATATCTCTATATATTTGGAGCAAGATATAAAATTTAGACTTGATATTTTAAAGATTTTTCAAGATGTAATTCTTATTTCTTTTTGTTCTATTTGACATTCTCTGAGTTTCCTATATTTGAAGTTTAATTTTCTGCACTTATTTTAGAATATTTTTGGCAGTTATTTTGAAAAATATTTCTTTTGCTCCATTATTTTTTCCTCTTTTCTTTTTGGGACTTCAATCATTACTAGAATAGGTAATTTCATCTCAGTCTTATGCAGGTTCTTTTTCTCAGGGTCTCAGGAATGTAGCCTTCTCACACTTCTGTTCTTTTCCTGGCTGTGTTGGTGAGCTCAGTGATATTCCTCCTTCAACTTCAAGAGCAGTTTTGTTTTGTTTTTCTTGTTTTCATACTCCCAGCATCAGGAGTATTCTAAGTGTGGCAGTTTTTGTTGCCTTCCCCTACATATTAAGTGGAATATCTTGGTCTAATAAAAGAGAGAGAAATCAAATAGACACAATAAAAAATGATAAAGTGGATATCACCACCGATCCCACAGAAATACAAACTAACATCAGAGAATACTACAAACACCTCTACGCAAATAAACTAGAAAATCTAGAAGAAATGGATACATTCCTCGACACATACACTCTCCCAAGACTAAACCAGGAAGAAGTTGAATCTCTGAATAGACCAATAACAGGAGCTGAAATTGTGGCAGTAATCAATAGTTTACCAACCAAAAGAGTCCAGGACCAGATGGATTCAGAGCCGAATTCTACCAGAGGTACAAGGAGGAACTGGTACCATTCCTTCTGAAACTATTCCAATCAATAGAAAAAGAGGGAATCCTCCCTAACTCATTTTATGAGGCCAGCATCATCCTGATACCAAAGCCGGGCAGAGACACAACAAAAAAAGAGAATTTTAGACCAATATCCTTGATGAACATTGGTGCAAAAATCCTCAATAAAATACTGGCAAACCGAATCCAGCAGCACATCTAAAAGCTTATCCACCATGATCAAGTGGGCTTCATCCGTGGGATGCAAGGCTGGTTCAATATATGCAAATCAATAAATGTAATCTATCATATAAACAGAGCCAAAGACAAAAACTACATGATTATCTCAATAGATGCAGAAAACGCCTTTGACAAAAATCAACAACACTGCATGCTAAAAACTCTCAATAAATTAGGTATTGATGGGACGTATTTCAAAATAATAAGAGCTATCTATGACAAACCCACAGCCAATATCATAATGAATGGACACAAACTGGAAGTATTCCCTTTGAAAACTGGCACAAGACAGGGATGCCCTCTTTCACCGCTCCTATTCAACATAGTGTTGGAAGTTCTGGCAACGGCAATTAGTCAGGAGAAGGAAATAAATGGTATTCAATTAGGAAAAGAGGAAGTCAAATTGTCCCTGTTTGCAGACGACATGATTGTATATCTAGAAAACCCCATTGTCTCAGACCAAAATCTCCTTAAGCTGATAAGCAACTTCAGCAAAGTCTCAGGATACAAAATCAATGTACAAAAATCACAAGCATTCTTATTTGGACTCTTATAACAGAATAACATAAACTGGGTGACTAAAAAACAACAGATATTTCTTTTTTCACACTTCTTGAGGCTGTAAGATCTCAGGCCAAGATACTCACAAATTCAGTGTTGATGAGAGCCCATTTCATGGTTCATAGATGGTGCCTTCTTTCTATGTCCTCACGTAGTGGAAGGCACAAAAGAACTCCACTGAGCTTCTTTTATAAAGGCACTAATCCCATTCATAAGGGCTCGGCCCCCAAGACCTGTTCACCTCCCAAGTGTTCTGCTCTCCCTGATCTGTGTCATATACAGACTCTCTTGGATTCCTTACCAATTGCTTGAGAGATCACAGTGGGTTTGTGGGGAAAAAGTTTTCAAGATGATGGATCTTTCCCAACTTCTGAAGCTGTCAGCGGTCTCCCAATCTCACCAGCTCCACTTTGTCTTTAGGAATTTATTGATTATTCCACCTTTACTTGTCATAGTGGTGTCTATTTGCATCTGTCCTATGTAAGTGCATCTGTCCTCTTTCTCCTTGCAGGTGCTTGTTTTCCCTCACATTTTGACTCAGTTCTTGGCAACCTCGTTGCTATAAAAATAAAGTCATGACTTTGAAGTTAGTTTGGTTCTTTCATTGATGTCAGGTTAGGAGGTTAGGAACCCTATTCCATCCCAGATCTCCAAAACCCAGACTTTTTGGGGGGTTGAAATTTTAGGGTTTCTCTTTGAATTGTAGTTTTATCTTCTTTCGGTTACCATTTGCATTTTCATAATGATTAATGAGACTAAGCTTTTTTTTTGTAGTTGACTGTACCTTTGGATTTTTTAAATTTGGAATATAAACACCTTTTTAATTTGGAAATAAAACACCTTTTTTAATTTGGAATATAAAGAGAAAAGAGAAAAATAGAAAGCTATGCATAAACACGTGCATTAAAATGAATTTTATGTGGGCTTTTTCATGAAAATATTCTTAAGGCATTTCATTTTTTTATTGTGGTAAAGTACACATAACATAAAATGTACTATGTTAACAATTTTAAGTGTACAGTTCAGTGGTATTAAATATAGTCTTAACATTGTGCAGCCGTCCCTACCATCCATCTCCATAATTCGTTTCATCTTGTAAAACTGAAACTCTATACCCATTAAACAATACTTCCCCATTTCTTCCTCCCCCCAGCTTCTGGCAACCATCATTGTACCATCTCTATGATTCTGTCCACTTTAATACAAATGGAATTATACTCTATTTGTCCTTCACTGACTAACTTATTTCACTTGGCATAATATCCTCAAGTTTCATCCAAGTTGCAACATATGTCAGAATATTTCCCTCAAGTTTAAGGCTGAATAATATTCCATTGTATGCATATATCATATTGTGCTTATCCTTTCATCTGTTGTTGGACACTTCAATTGCTTCTACGTTTTAGCTATTGCCAATAACGCTGCTGCAAACATGGATGTGCAAATATTTTTTCAAGACTCTGCTTTCAATTCTTTTACTATCCTGAGATGTGAAGCTGATTAATCATATGGCAGTACCATTTTAATGTTTTGAGGAACTACCATACTCTTTTCCACAGCAAACATAGCGTTTGGCATTCCCTCCAATACTGCAAAACGAATTGCCACATCCTTGCCTGTGGATTTTATTCACAAGTCCTGTGGCTCTCTCTACATCCTGGCCACCATGTGTTATTTCCTGTTTATGTATATGACATCAAAGGTGCAGGAAGTAATGGGCTAAATTGGAAGGATAAACATGTAGAAAAATAGAGATAATTACTGACTACATAAAACCATAAGAATAAGAATTTTGGATGATCTGTCTATTATACACCTATTTATCAAACATCTATCTGTTCCTCCATCTGTATTTAAAACATATTACAGTTAGAGAACAGAGGAAAATGTAGGAATACATGAATTTAAATTTTAATTCTTCTTAGATTGTCTCACAGCATCATTATAGGAAAGAAAATTTATAGGCCAATATCTGTTAACTATAAATGTAACATTCTTAAATAATTCAAATACATTGAAGTACAGCATGAATAACATATTACAATCCATTCAAGTTTATTTTATTCCAGGAACACAAAAATACAAATTTCATTTGCAATTCAAAAAAAAAACAGAAATCGATACATATGATTGATGTATATACACACAATGTATTTTTAAATATACATTTTATAAAAATATAAATTTTTCTAGGACAAATACTTAAAATGTCACTGAAAATAGTGTTATTAGCTAATACCTTCCTAATAACTCTGGTATTACATAAGAAACCAAAATTAAAATTTCAGGTAAACTTAGAAAGTAAAAATTTTAAAAATATTATTCTGTTCTCCTTATGTTCATATTTAATATTATTTCTTGTTTTCATTCATCTTCAGTGTTGCTCTACTAAAATATAACTTACAATACTAACTTTTGATTTCTGTTCTTATTACTCAGAATTGTATACATTTTCTCATGCTCTTAATTTAGTTATGCTACTTTTCTGTACTCTTGGAATTTTTACATTTGTGTTCACTCTCTTTTGAGTTCCCATAGTATCAAATGAGCTTTTTTCCCTCTTTCTGATTTGAAGATTCATCTTCTCTTGATTATTTTGTCCACTCAGTTTTTTTTCATTCTCAGTTAAGTGTCTCTCATCTCGCTTCTTTTCATTTATAAGGTTTCCTTTCATCTTAAGCCAGTCTTTCATTTATATTTTGATTCTGTTTTGTGGACGACATGCTTCCCTGAATTTTATGGAAGAGGCCAAAAGGTTTGTTCAAGTTTTTACCTGATACATTGGTTTAAATTATCTAATGTACACACTCTTAATTTAAGTCTAGGAGGGACTGTCTACTCTTGATTTTTTATAGTATTATTTTTCTTAACATCCAAGTCCATCTTCATCTATTTGTATAAGATCAATAAAAATATATTTGTCCAGGACCCTGCTTTGGCGGAGTTACTTCTTTCTAAGTAGTAGAGGTAGCAGTTGAGACATGATCTGGGTTCTGGGTCAGTTTAGAGGGCTGGGCGACTTTCCTCCTTTTGTTCTGTATGACTGAATGAATGCAGTTCTTGCTGTCTCGCTCCTCTCCTTAACACATTGAGCCATTGCAGCAGATGAGAAGGAATAATCCTGATCTGCCATTCAGGTGGAACACATGTTCTCTCCAACCACAGCCATAGGTTGTACTCACACTCAGCCAGAAGGTATCCTATCAATGATATGGAGATGTATCTATCTATATAGATAGATATTTACTTTGTTTTATGCTCTCTGGTTTCCCGTAAATTATCTCCTTAAAGTGAATATCAAAAGAGAGCTTGGTGATGGCAGTGTTATAAAATCCTCAAAATGCAGCACCCACACCCAGAGGAATTTGTAGATTCTGGGATTCTAATTCACATACCAAACTATATAAAAGGGGAATTGGTCATTGAGGGTTGCTAGGCTCTTAGTTGAGCATATTTGCTCCTTTCATGACTTCAAAATTATTTTAAAAATCTAACCTTTTTCTCAGTGTGCTGCAAGATGATTTGATTTGAATGCATAAGCACTAATTCTCCCCTAAGATTTGTATAATATACTTGCTCTGACAAGCCATAGCCAGCAACTCACTTCACAGCAATTTATAACATTTCCATGATAAGTTGAATTAGTTTTAACTAGACTCTCTTTGCCTTAATAAAAATATGAAGAAGCAATATACTTGTTCTAATTAGGTTCAAAAGTTGGCAGTCTCTCTCCTGGAAAGTATAGTAAAATTTTACAGCGGCCTAATATGCATCTATAAACACACACACACACACAAACACACACACAAGCACTATTCATAATATTTAAAGCACATTCTGTTCTATGACTTCATTTGTCTAGCACAAAATTAAACGATCTCAGTATATGTCAAGTACCAATTTTTTCGTATGGCCAATTATAGATATTTTATTTTTTAAAGATTAGAGTGTTCTTGAAGCTCTTTATATTTCTTTGTCAATGAACTAAACATTGGCAAATATGTAGGGTTTCCCACCTAAGAACATTATTAACATCAAAATAGAAAGCTGGTGGTAGAAATAATGATTAGGAACACAGAATCTCTACTCAAAGTTCTAGTTCTGCCATACCATAACTTTGTGATCTCAGGAAATATCTCTCCATGTTGTCATCTCTATGTATAGTTCTGTCATTTTTCAATAAGAGCTTTTTGCTTAATTATGAAGTACTAGTTACTATAACCATTATTTTGAGTTTCATGTAAATCAAGAACACATGGACTCCACTTGCAAAACATCGAAAATGTAGTTAGGGATTGGGGGCATAAAGCAACATTTTAAAATGTGTAAAGACAATGAGTAAGCAACAAAGTGTCCAATTTTTTAAAGGAAAGTTGCATACGTTAGGAAAAGGCAGGATTAAGTAACAGAGAATTTGAATGATAACTGGCCAATTGGTGTCATTTACAATTGCAAGTCATACAAATGAACTTTTCTGTTTTAAAGAGAAAAGGAGTTATTTAGAATGGGTCAACCTATTGGGGAAGCAATGTAGTTAGAGACAATGCCCAAAACCATGTGAGCAAATGCTCTGTAGAGCGCACCCCTGCAATGCTGCCATTGTGAGGCCAAATCTCTCCTTGTCTTGGTACTGAGCCCTCCGTTCTGCCTCCATCATTGCCACTGTAGCTGCCACAAAATGATCCCTCAACCACCGCTGCCCAGGAACAAAGAAATAATTCTGTCCTTCCACGCTCTCAGATCAATTTCCAACATCAGGTGAGCCTTTGATGGGCACTATTCAGTTCCCATATCCCTGAAATAGATGCAGTAAAAACATAGAAATTGCCTATGTGTTTCCCAATAAGACACATATGGAAGCCTGTTTTCCCACAACAGAAAGGGATTTGCACAATGGGTGTTCAAGGGAACAATATTCCCTGTAAACCATACTTTGCCTATATGAAGAAAAGCAATAAGGATTATTTAGTAAATAGACATGGAAACTCATCCAGGGTTGGCTGATGAGAAGCTGGTTAGCAAGGGGGTCTGCCTTCAGTTAGGACAAGGTCTGTGCTTCCCACGGGTTCTCTCCACAGCAGGAGGGATGCAAACTTCCCTTTCCTCCCCTGCACCTACCCTCAAATGGCCCAGACGTCTTCAGGTGCTAGAATTTCTCAATGAATGCTGCACAAAATATCAGAGAGCCTTGACTGTCACAGTCTGTTTTCATGAAGCTAGTCTCTGCTCACTACATAAAACAGGAGAGTAAGAACAAGGCTGTTTAACGCTACCCTACCTCAAACATGTTTCTCTCTGTATTATGCCAAGAACCTGGGAACCAGTGCATCTGCTGATTTCCCTTCTTGGATTCTAGCCCAGACAAAAGAGGCAAGGGGCATTTCTTCAGAGGCCTTGAGCTTCACTACACAATGCCCCAGGCTCTACATGCACCCTCTTTATATATTTCTA
This sequence comes from Homo sapiens, assembly GCF_000001405.40. Classification (NCBI taxonomy): domain Eukaryota; kingdom Metazoa; phylum Chordata; class Mammalia; order Primates; family Hominidae; genus Homo; species Homo sapiens. Next base: position 34,503,226 of record NC_000016.10, on the reverse strand, counting down.
CCTTGAAAAAAAATTTTTATATAATATTAATAATATATATTTTTATATAATAAACACATATGTTTGTTTTATAGATAGATATAGATATACATAGATAAAGATCTCTAGTCTGCCTTTTTTAAGGCTGGGCTGATCGCGGTGCCTCAAAACTATAATCCCAGCACTTTGGGAGGCCAACGTGGCCAGATCTCTTGAGTTCAGGAGATGGAGATCAGCGAGGGCAACATGGTGAAACCCCATCTTTACAATAATTAGCTAGTATGGTGTCATGCACCTGCAGTCCCTGCTACTCAGGAGGCTGAGGTGGGAGAATCACTTGAGCACAGTATGTGAAGGCTTCACTGAGCTCTAATCACATGACTGCACTCCATCTTGGGTGACAAAGTGATACCCTCTCTCAAAAATAAAATAAAATAAAATAAAATAAAATAAAATAAAAATGCTAACACCATACTCACAGATAAGTGTGTCAGGTATATTTGTAGCTATCCTTCCTATATTCTATTTTGTAAAAAAAAAAAATGCAAAGAACTCTTCTCATTCTAGATTTTTGTATTAATTAGACATTTGAAGTTTATAGCAGAAGAGCCATAATCATGTTTGGTATGTGTACTCTATAGACCAGAGAGTGCAAATAGATATCACTGCTTTTTAAAAGTATATAAGGTTATTAGAAATATTTTAAACTACCTATAGGTATATATGTATCTAATTGAACTATCAAATGCAAGTAAGATCATTTCCTTAGCATGTGAAATCCACTCAATTTATTAAAATATTTTCTAATATCTATTACAATAATATTTCTTAATTAGCTAACATAAGAGGAGTTTTAAGACATTTATTTATATGTACTTACTAGATTCAAAGTCGATTCCACTATTTTCAGAAATCATACTCTGAGACAAGTCCTTTTTTTATCTAACTATGTTTCTGCCTATATTAAAAGACAGATATGTCAATTTTGCTAGTCATGCTGTTCCAAACCTCTCCATCTTGGTTATTTTTCGGTTTGTTCTAGCAGTCATTCAGAGACTTACTTATATTCAAATTTCTCTCTAGGTTTAACATTCGTGTATGTCTTCTTGTGGTGTTGTCTATTTTTGCTGTATATAATTTAAGACATTTTATTGACATATATCATACATGCAGAAAAGTACAATGATTAAATATGGATAGCTTGATTAATGAAACACATGTATTTGCTTATAGCCATGTACGAAAATAGAACATTACTAAAAATAGTGATACTTCTCCTGCCCCTTTCCAAACACTAACCCTCATCCTCAATAGTAACAGATTTTTTTTATCATAGTGTAATTTGGTCTACTTTCAAATTTTTATTAAATAAATCAGAGTATCTACTCTAAGTCTATGTTTATTTTATTGTTGTTATTTTGCTTGTAGTGTTTATCTGCTAATGGACATGGTAGATTGAAAATGGCTACATACACATTTTTTAATTAATAGGTTTTTTGAGCAGTTTGTGGCTCATGCCTCTAATCCCATCACTTTGGGAGGCTGAGGTGCGTGGATCATGAACTCAGGAGATCCAGACAATCTTGGCCAACGTGGTAAAACCCCTTCTCAACTAAAATACAAGAAATTAGTTGATAGATAACATCAAGATAACATTTGAGTTCTTAGCTGCACTGAGTCAAGCCTACTTACATCTTTGTCTTCCGCTGCACTTTTCCTTCCACATCACAGTCCAGGAATGCCAAGCTGAGTTGGTCTTCTACCCCATTTCCACTATTGTGCCCCTGCCACCGCGGCTTTTTGCCACCACTGCTTTTTGTCGCCACTGCCGTGGGTTTTTGCCTCCGTTGCTTTTTGCCACCGCCTCTGCGGCTTTTTGCCCCCAACGCTGGTGCTTTTTGCGACTCTTTGACCCACCACTGGGGCTTTCTGTGGCTTTTGGTGCCCGCTGCAGTGCCATTTTGACCCCGCTGCTGCGGATTTTTCCCCCGCCTCACGGCTTTCTGCCACCGCTGCTGTGGCTTTTCGTCACTGCTGCCATGGATTTTTGCCCTCGCTGCTGCGGGTTTCTCCCGCCGCGGCTTTTTGCCCCGCCGCCGTGGCTTCTTAACCCCGCCGCCGTGGCATTTTGCCCCGTCACCTTGGCTTTTTGCAGCTTTTTGCCACTGCGGCTCTTTGCCCCCGAAGCCACGGCTTTTTGCCCTCGGCGCCGTGGCTTTTGCCCCCGCCACCGTGGCTTTTTGTGGCTTTTTGCTCCCGCCACTATGGCTTTTTACAGCCACGGCTCTTTGCCTCCAAAGCCACGGCTTTTTGCCCCTGCCACCACGGGTTTTTGCCACCACGGGTTTTTGCTGCCACGGCTTTTTGCCTCCGCCGCCATGGCTTTTTGCTCCTGCCACTGAGGCTTTTTGCCGCCGTGGTTTTTGTCCCCGCCGACGCTGCTTTTTGTGGCTTTTTGCCCCCTCACCGCCATGGCTTTTTACCCCCCGCCACTGTGGCTTTTTGCCACCATGGCTTTTTCCTCCCGTTGCCATGGGTTTTTGTGGGTTTTTGCACCCGCTCCCGCTGCTTTTTGCCCCCACTGCTGCAGCTTTTTGCCCTGCCACTACGGCTTTTGGCCGCCGTGGTTATTTGCCCCCGAAGCCACAGCTTTCTGCCCTCACCGCCGCGGCTTTTTGCCCCTGCCACCGTGGCTTTTTGCCCCTGCTGCCACGGCTTTTTGCCTGTGCTGCTGCGGGTTTTTGCCGCCACGGCTTTTTATCCCCACCACCGCTGCTTTTTGCAGCTGTGGCTTTTTATCCCCACCGCCATGGCTTTTTGGGCTCACCACCGCAGTTTTTGCAGTCATGGCTTTTTGCCCCCCACAGCCATCGTTTTTGCTCCTGCCACTGAGTCTTCTTTCCACTGCGGTTTTTGCCCCTGCCGCCATGGCTTTTTGCTCCTGCCGCTGAGGCTTTTTGCCGCCACGGTTTTTGCCCCCCCGCCGCTGCTGCTTTTTACGGCTTTTTTCCCCCTGCTGCTGCGGCTTTTTGCCCCTGCAGCTTTTCCCCCCATCGCCGCGGGATTTTGTGGTTTTTCTGGCCCCGCCGCCACCACTGCTTTTTGCCCCGCTGCTATGGTTTTTTGCCCCCGAAGCCACAACTTTTTGCCCTTGCCGCCGTGGCTTTTTGCCCCGCCACTACGGCTTTTTACCCCCAAAGCCACAGCTTTTTGCCCTCGCCGCCGTGGCTTTTTGCCCCGCCGCTATGGCTTCTTGTCCCCGAAGCCACAGCTTTCTGCCCTCGCCACCACGGCTTTTTGCGGCATTTTACTCCCCGCCGCCTTGGCTTTTAGCCCCCGCCACTGAGGCTTTTTGCCGCCTTGGTGTTTGTTCTGGCTGCCGCTGTTTTTGCGGCTTTTTGCCTCCCGCTGCCATGGCTTTTTGCCCCCGCAGCTACAGCTTTTTGCTGCTGCAGCTTTTTGCCCCCGAAGCCAAGGCTTTTTGCCCTCCCTGCTGCGGCTTTTTGCACCCGCCGCCGGGGCTATTTGCCCCCACTTCTGTGGCTTTTTGCCACCGCTGTTTTTTCCACTGCCACTGTGGGTTTTTGCCCCCGTCACGGGTTTTTGCCACCGCAGCTATTTTTTTAACCACCACCGCCGTGGCTTTTTGCTCCTGCCACCATGGTTTTTTGCCTCCGCCGCCGAAGTTTTTGCTCCCACTGCCTTGGCTTTTTGCAGCTTTTCGCCCCTGTCGCTGCAGCTTTTTTGCCCCCTGCCACCATGGCTTTTTACCCCAGCCATTGTGGCTTTTTACCCCAGCCGCAGCAGCCTTTTCCCCCAGCTGCTGCGGCTTTTTGTGTTTCTTTGCCCCCACACCTGCTGCTTTTTGACCCACCTCAGCAGATTTCTACCCCCTCAGCGTGGCTTTTTTCCCCCACTGCCGTGTCTTTCTCCAACCGCCGCTGTGGCTTTTTGCCCCTGCCGCCGCGCCTTTTTGCCACCGTGGCTTTTTGCCCCCACTGCCTTTGGAACATTAATTTCACTTGAAATCAAATTTCCCACTGCCATGCAACCTAACATATTTGTATGTTAGACTCTGGTAATTAGGACATGAACATTTTTGGGAGGCCATTATTTTCTCTACAGCAGACATAATCTATTTGCCTGAAGATTAAAGTGTTCTTTATTTTTCTGCCTCTCTTTCTTAATTTTTTAAAATAATATGAATTGTAGTAAAGAGAAAGAAAGAAAAGAAAGAAAAAAGAAGGAAGGAAGGAAAGAAGAAAGAAAAGGAGGAAATGAGAGAAGGGAGGGAGGGAGGAAGGGAGAAAGGCAGGAAAGGAGAAAAAAGAAAGCAAGAAGTCAAGAAAGAGAGAAAGAAAGTGAGAAAAGAAGGAAGGAGGAAGGAAAGGAGGAAGAGAGAATGGTAAAAGGGAGGAAGGCAAACAAAGAAAATAGAAGGGAGGAAGGAAGGAAACAGGAAAGGAAGGGAGGGAGGAAGGAAAAAAGGGAGGGAGGAAGGGAGAAAAAAGGAAAGAAAGTGAGAAAGAATAAGAGAAAAGGAGGAAGAAAAGGGAGGAGAAAGCAAGGGAGGGAGGAGGGAAGGAAGAATAAGGGGAAGGAAAGAAGGAAGGAAGGAGAAAAAAGAAAGGAAAAGAAAGCGGAAAAGAAGAAAGGAAGGAAGAAGGCAAGGGAAGAGAAGAGAAAGGAAGATGGAAAGAAGGAAGGAAGAACGCAAATATTAGAAATTCTGGGTTTGTTAGACAATATGCCATACTGTTTTCTTTTCACTTGAAAGGAAAGAGTATCTGCCATTGAAGATTGGATGTCTTGTTGGTGATATTGTTGTTCTTATTTTCCACATGATTACTGAGTTTGTGCCTAGTCTTTCCATTACTAAGACAAAAGTGTTGAAGTCTGCAAATATAATTTTTGATTTTTGTATTTCACCTTTGATTTCTTTCCTGTTTTACCTCATGTATTTGGAGGTTCTGTTGTTAGCTGCATATCCTAATTAGTAAGATGTTTACATCTTGAGAATTTATTATTATATTATTTATTATCTCTCATCTCTGATACTATTTCTTGTTCCGAACTCTGTTGTGTCTAATATCAATGTAGTCCTTCCACAGCTTTATTTTAGTGTTTCCATGATATGGCTTTCTCCATATCTTGATGATAACCTATTTATATCTCTATATATTTGGAGAAAGATATAAAATTTAGAGTTGATTTTTTAAAGACTTTTCAAGATGGAATTCTTATTTATTTTTGTTCTGTTTGACATTCTCTGAGTTTCCTATATCTGAAGTTGGATTTTCTGTCACTTCTTTTAGAATATTTTTGGCAGTTATTTTGAAATATATTTATTTTGCTACATTATTTTTTCCTCTTTTCTTTTTGGGATTTCAATCATAAATTGTGTAGGTAATTTCATCTCAGTCTTATGCAGGTACTTTTTCTCAGGATTTCAGGAATGTAGCCTTGTCACACTTCTGTTCTTTTCCTGGCTGTGTTGGTGAGCTCAGTGATATTCCTCCTTCACCTTCAAGAGCAGTTTTGTTTTGTTTTTCCTGTTTTCATACTCCCAGCATCAGGAGTATTCTAAGTGTGGCCATTTTTGTTGTCTTCCCCTACATATTAAGTGGAATATCTTGGTCTATTTGGACTCTTATAACAAAATAACATAAACTGGGTGACTAAAAAACAACAGATATTTCTTTTTTCACACTTCTTGAGACTGTAAGATCTCAGGCCAAGATGCTCACAAATTCAGTGTTGATGAGAGCCCATTTCATGGTTCATAGATGGTGCCTTCTTTCTATGTCCTCACATAGTGGAAGGCACACAGGAACTCCACTGAGCTTCTTTTATAAAGGCACTAATCTCATTCATAAGGTCTCGGCCCCCAAGACCTCGTCACCTCCCAAGTGTTCTGCTCTCCCTGATCTGTGTCATATACAGGCTCTCTTGGAATGCTTACCAATTGCTTGAGAGATGGCAGTGAGTTTGTGGGGAAAAAGTTTTCAAGATGATGGATCTTTCCCAACTTCTGCAGCTGTCAACAGTCTCCCAATCTCACCAGCCCCACTTTGTCTTTAGGAATTTATTGATTATTCCAGCTTTACTTGTCATAGTGGTGTCTATTTGCATCTGTCCTATGCAAGTGCATCTGTCCTATGTAAGTGCATCTGTCCTATGTAAGTGCATCTGTCCTTTTTCTCCTTGCAGGTGCAAGTACTCAGGAGTACACTGTTGTTACTAATTACTCAGTATTGGTTGGTACATTGTCAAAGATCAAAAAATATTTTTAATGATAAAAAAATTCTTGGAGATTGTGTAATGAAGGGTTAATTCTGCAGACATGGCTTTCCAAACCCTTGTTCATTCCTAAGGTCTTCAGGACTGGCCCTTGACAAGCTCCTGGGAGATGATAACCTAAGAGCCCTTGGTATATGCTGCCTGATGAGAGTCTTTGTATACCTGAAAACTTAGGTCATATCAAAGAGCTGATGCTAACAACGTGATTTCTTGTGAACACCTGTTTCTGTATGCCTATGACTTTGTGTAATGCCATATTAATATGACCTCTCTTAGGGCATAGGGAGGTTGGGAACTAAGTAGCTAAGTTCAGTCACTGGACGCTCGATGCATATGTGGTGGAAGCCTAATAAAATCCCTGGACTCAAGACTGACTGAGCTTCCATAGTTGACAACAAGTTCACACATGTTGTCTCACACCATTGTAAAGAATATTAGTCAGTGTGAAGTCCCCACTATGAAAGGACACCTGTAAGCTCACAATTGGTTTGTCCTGGACTCAACTTTATGTGTTTTTATGCTTCTGATTATTTTAATCTGGTTTATTTCACTGTTAGAAACTATAACCACAGAAAAAATCAGCTTTCTTGAGTTATGTGAATCATTAAACCGAAGGGGGACTTGGGGACCCCCAATAGAAAGTATATATATTCATATATTCTTAAAAAGAAAAAGAAAACTGGCTATAGCAGATATTGCTGATGACTTGTCTCCTATGTCCTGGACTCAATGTGTTCACCTGAATTTCACCTGTTTCCAGCTAACTGAGCGCTCCCCACATCATGTCTGTCTTTCTGATTTTTGGGCCTGCCTGCAAGCTTCTTGAGGTTAACCAGTGCTTCTCAACCACACATAGGAACAAAGAAGGAGTTAGGGGTGGGGAGTTAATGATTCTAAGGCAATCCTTAAGCAACAAGAGATGGGGATTCCAGCATCCCTATCTGTTTGTAAAGTTATTTTGACACAATCTCCATACCTCCATCATTACTGAGCACATAGCACTACTGGCTTCGTGTTCTGTTTCATTTTCTCCACTTCTGTGCTTTCTTACTCAATTTCTGATTAAAGTATCTGACCCAAGATTTTTGTTTCATAGTGTATTTTTGAGGGAATCCAGAGCCAAGACAATAACAATGGGAGCTTTGCAATGAGGGAGGGTGAGTATAATCATCAGAAGTTTACCTACCTCACTGGGAACATGAAGGCCTGGAGAGCTTGCTGTTTCAATGAGAGAAACATGTTGACTCTCAGTTGAATACCTATATATATATGTGCAATAAGACGTGCCCTTTACTTATATCAAAGGAAAGTGCTCTTTACCTCTCTTTGTTGTTGTGTTTTTATCACTATTGCCTACACAAGCAGAATATCATACCCAGGATTTAAAGCCCTCTCTGCAGGATTTTCAAGCTCATGTTTTTATCATAAGTCACTCTGCTTCCATGGGTTTTAAATCTAATCCTCATTCCGCTGCTTTTACCCCAGAGAATTCATCACTGACTTAATTTTGACTGACCCCCTTATAGAGCTGTCAAGTAGACAATTTCTGCCGTGACCTTTCTCTTAGAGTTCAGCCATATAGCCTCTCACTGGATATCATTTCCTCTTATCTTTCCTAATAATGAATTGTCAGTAAAAACTCAATATTTTTAAGATTAAGCTTACCCTCTGCACACACACACACACACACACGCCATTATTGGTGTATTCTTATAGCCTTGAAACACTAATGTCACGTTGATGTCTGCCTTTTCTTTCTCTGCTAACTCATTCCTCATCCTTAGATTATTCTAAAAGATTCAATCAGATCAAGTTGGCTAATTATATTTATAAGATCTTCTCCACACTTACCAACTTTTCATTTAACAAAATTTAAAAATTTCTGGCAGGAGACTGCTGAAATCCCCCTGGATGACTGTGGTTTTACTATTTTACCTTTCAGTTTTAATAGGTTTTATATTATGTATTTTGAAGTAATGTTATTGTGTGCACACATATTTCTTATTTACATTACTTTTGGTGTATTTTCCCCTTTGTCAGTTTGAAATGTTATTCTTCATCCACAGTGATATTTCCTGTTCTGATGTCTACTTTTCTCAACACAGTTTTAGGGGGTTTTGTTTTGTTGTTTTTCTATTTTTTGGTTCAAGTAAGTTTCTTACAAATCTGTTCGATTCCATTTGATGATTCCATTTGATTCCATTCGAGGATTCTACTAGATTCCATTCGATGATGATTCCATTCGAGTCCATTGAATGACTCCATTCGAGTCCATTTGATGATTTCATTTGATTCCATTCGATGATGATTCCATTATACTCCTTTTGATGATTCCATTTGATTCCATTCGATGATGATTCCATTAGAGTCCATTCGATGATTCCATCAGATTCCATTCAATGATGACACAATTTGAGTCCCTTCATTGATTCCATTGGATTCCATTTTATGATAACTGCAATCATTTCCATTTGATGATGATACCAACGGATTCCATTCGATTTCTCCATTCGATTCCATTCCTTGCTGAATCCACTCAATTCCATTAGATAATGCCTCCTCTAGATTCCATTCGATGATGATTTCATTAGATTCTATTCGATGATGATCCAATTCGATTCTATTAAATGATGATTCTATTCAATTCCATTCAATAATTTCATTCGATTCCATTCGAAGATTCCATTTGATTCCATTTGATGATGATTCCATTCGTGTCCAATCGATGATTCCATTCGATTCCATTCGATGATGATTCTATTTGAGTCCATTCAATGATTCCATTTGATTCCATGTGATGATGATTCCTTCGAGTCCGTTCGATGATTCCATTTGATTCCATTAGATGATGACTGCGTTCGGTTCCATTCGATGATGTTTATAACGGACTCCATTCGATGACTCCATTCGATTCCATTCATTGATGATTCCATTCGATTCCACTGGATGATGATTGCATTCGATTCCATTCGATGATGATTCCATTCGATTCCGTTCGATGATTATTCCATTCTGTTCCATTCAATGATGATTCCATAGGATTCCATTCGATGATTCCATTTGATTACATTTGATGATGATTCCTTTCAGGTCCATTCAATGATTCCATTCTATTCCATTCGGTGATGATTCCATTCGATTATTCCATTCAACTCCATTTGATGTTTTCTTTCGATTCCACTCAATGTTGATTCCAACTGAATGCTTTCGATGATTCCATTCGAGTACAGTCCATGATTTCATTCGATTCCATTCGATGATGATTCCATTCGATTCCATTCGATGATTCCATTTGATTTCAGTCGATGATGATTACATTAGGTTCCATTCAATGATTCCATTCGAGTCCATTCAATGATTCTATTCAAGTCCATTAAATGATTCCATTTGATTCCATTCCATGATTCCATTGGATTCTATTCTTTGTTTTATTTTGATTCGTTTTGATGATGATTCCATTCAGTTTCATTCGATGATCCCATTTGATTCTATTCAATGATATTTCCATTCGATTCCTTTTGAAGAAAATTCCATTCGATTCCATTGATGATGATTCCATTCGATTCTATTCGATGCCGATTCTATTTGATTCCATTCAATGATGATTCCATTCGATTACATTTGATGACTAAATTCGATTCCATTCGATGATGATTCCATTCGAAACCATTCGATGATTACATTCATTTCCATTCAATAATAATTCCATTCGAGTCCATTCGATGATTCCATTCAAGTCCATTCAATGATTCCATCTGATTCCATTCAATGAATCCATTTGATTCCAAAATATGATGATTCCATTCGTTTCCATCCGATGATGATTCCATTCGATTCCCTTCAATGATTCCATTCGATTCCATTTAATGATGATTCCAATCAATTCCATTCAATGATTCAATTCAAATCCATTCGATGGTGAGTCCATCCATTTCAATTTCATGATAATTCCATTCGATTCAATACGATGGTGTTTCCATTCGATTCTATTCGATGTTGATTCCATTGGTTTCCATTGGATGATGATTCCATTCGTGTCCATTTGATGATAATCACATTCGATTTCATTCCATAATTCTATTTGATTCCATTCGATGATGATTCCATCTGATTCCATTAGGTGATTCCATTCGATTCCATTCGATGATGATTCCATTCGTTTCCATCCGATGATGGATTCCATTTGATTCCATTCGATGATTATTCCATTCGAGTCCATTCGATGATTCCTTTCGATTCCATTCGAAGATGATTGCATTCGAGTCCATGGATTATTCCATTCCATTCCACTAAATGATTCCATTTGAGTCTATTCGATGATTCTCTTTGATTCCATTCAATAATTCCGTTTGATTAAGTTTGATGTTGATTCCATTCGAGTCCATTCGATGATAATTCCATTCGATTTTATGTGATGATTCCATTCGTTTCCATTCGGTTCCATTTGAATATGATTCCATTCGAGACCATTCGATGATTCCATTCAATTCATTCTATGACGATTCCATTCATTTCCATTTGATGATTCCATTCGATTCCATTTGATGATGATCTCATTTGATTCCATTGGATGATGATTCCATGCGATTCCATTCGATGATGACTCCTTTCGGTTCCATTCAATGATGACTCCATTTGGTTCCATTCATTGATGATTCCTTTGGATTCCATTCAATGATGGTTCCTTTCGACTCCATTTGATGTTGATTCTTTTGTATTCCATTCGATGATGATTCCATTTGATGCCATTTGATGACAATTCCATTCGATTCCATTCAATGATTCCAGTTGATTCCACACGATGATGATTCAATTCGAGTCCATTTGATGGTTCCGTTCAATTCCATTCGATGATGATTCCATTCGATTCCATTCAATGATTCCGTTTGATTCCTTTCGATGATTATTCCATTCGAGTCCATTTGGTGACTTCTTTTGATTCCAATTGAAGATGATTCCATTCAATTCTATTCGATGATACGATTTGATACCATTCGTTGATGATTCCATTTGAGTGCATTCCATGATACCATTCGATCCCATTCAGTGATGAATCCATTTGATTTCACTCGATGATTCCATTCAATTCCATTCTATGGTGATTCCATTCGAGTCCATTTGATGATTCCATTTGACTCCATTAGATGATGATTCCATTAAATGATTCCATTCCATTCTATTCGATGATGATTGCATTTGATATCATTCGATGCTAATTCCATTCAATTCCATTCGATTATTCCATTTGATTCCATTAAATTCCATTCAATGATTCAATTCGATTATATTTGAGGATGATTCCATTCGATTCCATTCAATGATGATTCTATTCGATTTGTTTTCATGATGGTTCCATTCAATTCCATTCAGTGATGATCCATTTGTGTCCATTCAATGTTTCCATTCGATTCCATTCAATGATTATTCCATTCTTGTCCATTAGATGATTCCATTAGATTCCATTTGATGATTCCATTTTGTGCAATTCAATTATTCCATTTGATTTCATTCAATGATGATTCCATTGATGTCGTTTGATGATTCTTTTCCATTCCATTCAATGATTATTCGATACGAGTCTATTCGATGATTCCATTCGATTCCATTCAATGATGACTCCATTCGTGTTCATTCCATGATTTAATGCAATTTCATTTGATGATTATTACATTCAATTCTATTCGATGATTCCATTCAATTCCATTTGGTGATGATTCGATTCGAGTCCATTCGATGATTCCATTCAAGTACATTTGATTATTCCGTTCGGTTCCATTTGATGATGATTCCATTAGAGTCGATTCGATAATATCATTTGATTCCATTTGATGGTGATTCCATTCGTGTCCATTCGATGATTCCATTTGATTCCATTTGATGATGATTTCTTTCGAGTCCATTCTGTGTTTCCATTCAAGTCCATTCAATGATTCCTTTTGATTCCATTTGATGATGATTCCAATCGAGACCATTAGATGATTCCATTTGATTTCATTTGATGATGACTGCATTTAATTCTGTTTGATGATTCCATTCTGTTCCATTCAATGATGATTCCATTTGAGTTCATTCGATGATTCCATTCGAATTCATGTAATGATTCCACTGGGTTCAATTTGATGATGATTACATGAGATTCCATTCAATGATTCCATTCGATTCCATTCGCTGATTACTCCATTCGATTCCTGCCAATGATGATTCCATTTGATTCCATTCTTTCATGACTCAATTTGATTCAATTCGATGATGATTCGATTTGATTCCATTTGATGATGATGATTCCATTCAATTCCATTCGATGATGATTCCATTCGATTTCATTTGATGATTCTATTTGATTCCATTCGATGTTGATTCAATTCTATTCCATTCGAGTATTCCATTCGATTCCATTCGATGATGATTCCATTCGATTCCATTCGATGATGATTCCCTTCAATTGCATTCATCGATGATTCCATTCGAGTGCATTCGAAGATTACATTCGATTCCATTTGATCAAGATTCCATTTGAGTCCATTCAAAGATTAGATTCGATTCCATTCAATGATGATTCCGTTCGAGTCCATTCGATGATTCCATTCCATTCCATTCCATTTGATGATGATTCTGTTTGATTCCATTTGATGATGATTCCATTCGATTCCATTCGATGATGATTCCATTTGATTTCATTCGATGATTCTATTTGTTTCCATTCGGAGATAATTCTATTCTATTTCATTCGATGATTATATTCAATTCCATTCGATGAGGATTCTATACGATTCCATTTGATGATGACTCCACTCGATTCCATTCCATAATGATTCAATTCGTGTCTATTCGATGTTTCCTTTCGATTCCATTCGACAATGATTCCATTTGAGTCTGTTAGATCATTCCATTCAATTCCCTTCGATGATGATTCCATTCGATGATTCCTTTCTCTTTCATTTGATAATGATTCCATTCGAATCCTTTTGATGGTTCCATTCCATTCGATGATGATTTCATTCGAGTCCATTCGATGATTCCATTCGATTCCATTTGATGATGATTCCATTCGATTCCATTTGATAATTCAATGTGATTTGATTCGATGATGATTACATTCGATTCTGTTCGATGATTACATTCAATTCCATTTGATGATGACTCCATTCGAGTCCATTCGATGATTCCATTCAATTCTATTCGAAGATGATTCCATTGGATTCCATTCCATGATTCCATTCGATTCCATTCGAAGACCATTGCATTCGAGTCCATTCAATGATTCCATTTGATTGCATTCAATGATGATTCCATTTGAGTCCATTCGATGTTTCCATTCGAATCCATTTGATGATTATTTCAATTATATTCGATGATGATTCCATTCGAGTCCATTTGTTGTTTCCATTCAATTCCATTCGATGATGACTCCTTTTGGGTCCATTAGATGATTCCATTCAATTCCATTCGATGATGATTCCATTCGAGTCCATTCGATGATCCCATTCGATTCCATTTGATGATGATTCCATTCGATTCCATTTGATAATTCAATGTGATTTGATTCGATGATGATTACATTCGATTCTGTTCGATGATTACATTCAATTCCATTTGATGATGACTCCATTCGAGTCCATTCGATGATTCCATTCAATTCTATTCGAAGATGATTCCATTGGATTCCATTCCATGATTCCATTCGATTCCATTCGAAGACCATTGCATTCGAGTCCATTCAATGATTCCATTTGATTGCATTCAATGATGATTCCATTTGAGTCCATTCGATGTTTCCATTCGAATCCATTTGATGATTATTTCAATTATATTCGATGATGATTCCATTCGAGTCCATTTGTTGTTTCCATTCAATTCCATTCGATGATGACTCCTTTTGGGTCCATTAGATGATTCCATTCGATTCCATTCGATGATGATTCCATTCGAGTCCATTCGATGATCCCATTTGATTCCATTTTATGATGTTTCCATTCGAGTACAATAGATGATTCCATTCGATGGTGTTTCTATTGCAGTCCTTTAGATGATTCCATTCAATTCCATTCGATGATGATTCCATTCTATTCAATTCTAAGGTGATTCCATTGGGATCCATTTGATGGTTACTTTGGTTACCATTCAATGATGATTTTGTTCTATTCCATTCAATGATGATTCCATTTGTGTCCAATAGATGATTCCATTTGTGTCCAATAGATGATGATTCCATTCTATTCCATTCGATAATGATTCCGTTCATGTAAATTAGATGATTCCATTCTATTCCATTCAATGATGATTCCATTAGATACCATTCTGTGATTACATTCGATTACATTCGATGTTGATTCCATTCGATTTCGTTCACTGTTTCTATTTGATTCCATTCGATGATGATTCCATTCGATTCCATTTGATGATTCCATTTAACTACATTTGATGTTGATTCCATTCGATTCTATTCTATGATTCCATTTGATTCCATTCGTTGATGATTCCATTCAAGTCCATTCGATTATTCCTTCTGATTCTATTCGATTATGATTCCATTTGAGTCCATTCAATGGTGATTAAATTTGATTCAATTCGATGATTCCATTCGATTCCATTCAATGCTGATTGCCTTCTATTCCATTCATTGATTCCATTCGATTCCATTCAAAGATGATTCCATTCGATTCCACTCCATCATTCCATTCGATTATATGCGATGATTCCAATGGATTCCATTTCATGATGATTCCTTTTGAGTCCATACAATGATGCCATTCAATTCCATTCGATGATGATTCCATTCGTGTGCATTCGATGATTCCAATCGATTCCATTCAATGATGATTCCATTCAAGTCCATCCGATGACTCTTTTCAATTCCATTCTATAATGATTCCGTTCGAGTCCATTTGATGATTCGATTCGAGTCCTTTCAATGATTGCATTCAATTCCATTCGAAGCTGATTCGGTTCGATTCCCTTTTGGTCCATTTGATAAATTCATTCAAGTCCAACTGATGATTCCATTCAATTCCATTCTATGATGATTCCGTATGATTCCATTTGACGATGATTCCATGTGATTCCATTCGATGATGATTCTTTCAGTAACATTTGATTATGATTCATTTCGAGATCGTTCAACGATTCCAAATGATTCCATTCAATGATGATTCCATTCGAATCTATTTGATGATTCCATTCGATTCCCTTCGATTATGATTCCATTTGAGTTCGTTCGATGACTCTATTTGATTCCATTCAATGATAGTTCCGTTCTTGTCCAATCGATGATTCCATTCTATTCCAATAAATGATGATTCCATTCAAGTCCATTCCATGATTGCATTCGAGTCCATTCGATGATTCCATTCGACTCCATTCGATGATGAATCCATTCAAGTCCGTTCAATGATTGCATTAGATTCCATTCGAGGATGACTGCATTTGGTGTCTTTCGATGATTCCATTCAATTCCATATGCTGATTCCATTTGATTCCATGTGATGATGATTCCATTCGATTCCATTCCATGATTCCATTCGATTCCATTCGATGATGATTCCATTCAAGACCATTCAATGATTCCATTCTAGTACCTTCGTTGATTCCATCCAATTCCATTTGATGATGATTCTATTCGAGTCCTTTTGATGATTCCATTCGATTACATTCAATGAAGATTCCATTCGAGTCCATTAAATGATTCCATTCAATTCCATACATTGATGATTCCATTTGATTCCATTCGATGATTCTATTCTATTCCATTCAATAATGATTCCATTCGATTCTGTTCTATGATTGCATTCGATTTCATTTGATGATGAATCCATAGGAGTCCATTCGATGATTCCATAACATTCCATTCAATGATGATTCCATTCAAGTCCATTCGATGGTTCCATTTGTTTCTATTTGATGATGATTCCATTGGATTTCATTCAATGATTCCATGCGATTCCATTCGTTGTTGATTCCATTAGATTCAATTCGATGATGATTCCATTCAATACCCTTCATTGATGATACCATTGGATTCCATTCGAAGATGATTTCAATCAACTCCATTCATTGATGATTCCGTTCGTTTCCATTCGATGATTCCATTTGATTCCATTCAAAGATGATTCCATTCGAGTACATTTGATGATTCCATTGGATTCCATTCAATGATTCCATTCTATTCCATTTAGTGATGATTCCATTCTATTCCATCCGATGATGATTTCATTAGATTCATTTCGATGATGATTCCATTTGAGGCCATTTGATGATTCCTTAAGAATCCATTCGATGATGATTCATTTCGAGTCCATTCGATGATTCCATTCGAGCCCCTTCGTTGATTCCATCAGATTCCATTTGATGATGATTCCATGAGAGTACAATCAATTATTCCATTCTATACCATTCTATGATTCAATTCGAGCAATTCAATTATTCCATTCGTGTTCATTCGATGATTCCATTTGATACCATTCGATGATGATTCCATTCAATTCCATTTGATGATTCCGTTCAATTCCACTTGATGATTCCCTTCGATTTCTTTCAATGATGATTCCATTCGATTCCCTTCAATGATTCCATTCGATTCTATTCGAGGATTCCATTCGATTCAATTCGATGATGATTCCAATAGAGTCCATTCGATGATTTCATTCGAGTCAATTCAGTGATTCCATTTGAGTCCATTTGATGATTCCATTCGATGCCATTCGATGATGCTTCCCCTAGATTCCATTTGATGATTCAATTCGAGTCCATTTGATAATTCCGTTCGACTCCATTCAATGATTATTCCATTTGATTTCATTCAATGGTTCCATTCGATTCCATTTGATGACTATTCCATTCAATTCTATTCGATGGCTCCATTTGATTCCATTTGATGATGTTTCCTTTCGATTCCATTCGATAATCAGGCATTCGATTCAATTCCATGATGATTCCCTTTGATTCAATTCCATGATGTTTCCATTCGATTCCATTCGATGATGATTCCATCCGATTCCATTCGACCATGATTCCATTCGAGTCCATGCGATGATGAGTCCATATGAGTCCGTTCATTGATGATTCCATTCGATTTCTTACGATGCTTCTATTTGATTCCAATCAATGATTCCATCTGACTCCATTCGATGATTCCTTTCGAGTCCATTCAATGATGATTCCATTTGTTTCCATCTGATGATGATTTCATTTGATTCCATTCGATGATTCCATTCGATTCCATTCGATAGTGATTCCATTTGAATCCATTCGATGACTCCACGTGATTCCATTCGATGACTACATTCATTCCCATTCGATGACTCCATTCGATCCCATTCGATGAATCCCTTCAATTCCATTCGATGATCATTCCATTTGATTCAATTCTGTGATTCCTTTTGATTCTATTAAATTATGATTCCATTAGACTTCATTCGATGATGATTCCATTCCTTTCCATGCGATTATGACTTAACTCAATTCCATTTGATTATGATTCCATTTGAGTCCATTCGATGTATACATTCGATTCCATTCTATGATGATTCCACTCATGTCCACTCGATGATTCCATTCGAGTCCATTCAATGATGCCATTAGATTCCATTCGATCATGATTCCATTGGATGCAATTTGATGACTCAATTCGATTCCATTCAACGATGATTCCATTTGTGTCCATTCGATCATTCCATTCGATTCCATTTGATGGTCATTCCATTCGAGTCCATTCATTGATTCCATTCAATTCCATTTGATGATGATTCCATTCTAATCCATTTGATGATTCCATTCGATTCCATTCGATGATGATTGCATTTGGTTCAATCTGATGATGATTCCAAAGGATCCCATTCAATTTCTCCATTTCATTCCATTCGTTGATGATTCCATTCGTTTCCATTAAATGATGATTCCATTAGATTCCATTCGATGATGATTCCATTCAATTCCATTCAACGACGATTCCATTCAATTCCATTCAATGATGATTCCATTCGATTTCATTCGATGATTCCATTTGATTCCATTCAATGATGATTCCATTAGGGTCCATTCGATGATGATTCCATTCGAGTGCATTCAATGATTCCATTCAAGTCCATTCAATGATTCCTTTCAATTCAATTCCATGATGATTCCATTTGAGTGCATTCGATGATTCCATTCGATTCCACTGAAAGATAACTCCATTCATGTCGATTAGATGATTCCATTTGGTTCCATGTGATGATGATTCCATGGAGTCCTTTAGATGATACCATTTGATTCCATTCGATGCTGACTGCATTCAGTTCCATTCGATGATGATTCCAAAGACTCCATTCGATGACTCAGTTAGACTCCATTCATTGATGATCCCATTCGATTCCATTCGATGATTATTCTATTCAATTCCATTCCATGATGATTCCATTCGATTCCATTCGATCATGATTCCATTCGATTCCATTCCATGATGATTCCTTTCGATTCCATTCGTGTCAATTCATTGATGATTCCATTCGTGTCCATTCGATGATTCCATTTGAGTCCCTTCATTGATTCCATCCGATACCATTTGATGATGAATCCATTCGATTCCAATCGATTATTCCGTTCGATTCCATTTGATGATTTCATTCAAGTCCATTCGGTTATTCCATTCGAGTCTATTCGATGATTCCATTCGATTCCATTCGATGATTATTCCATTCAATTCCATTAGATGATTCCGTTAGATTCCATTTGATGATTCCTTTTGATTTCTTTCGATGATGATTCCATTATATTCCATTCGATGATACCATTCCATTTGATTCGATGATGATTCCTTTCGATTCCATTCGATGATGATTCCATTCAATTCCATTCGATGATGACTGCATTCGGTTCAATTCGATGAAGAATCCAACGGATTCCATTCGATTTCTCCATTCGATTGAATTCGTTGATGATTCCATTCGATTCCATTAGATGATAATTCCATTCGACTCCATTCGATGATGATTCCTTTCGATTCCATTCTATGATGTTTCCATTAGACTCCATTCGATGATGATTTCTTTCGATTTCATTCGATGATTCCATTCGATTCCATTCGATAATGATTCCATTCATGTCCATTCGATTTTTCCATTTGATTCCATTCCATGATGATTCCATTAGAGTCCATTCAATGATTCCTTTCAAGTCCATTCGATGTTTTCTTTTGATTACATTTGATGATGATTCCATTCGAGTCCATTCTATGATTCCATTCAATTCCGTTCGATGATTATTCCATTCGTGTCCATTCCATGATTTCATTCGATTCCACTTGATGATTTCTTTCGAGTCCATTCAATGATTCCATTTGATTTCATTCAATGATGATTCCATTCAATTCCGTTTGATGATTCCATTCGATTCCATTCCATGATGATTCCATTCGAGTCCATGTGAAGAATCTATTCGATTCCATTTTATAATGATTCCTTTCGAGTCCATTTTATGATTTGGTTTGATTCCTTTTGATGATTCCATTCAATTTCACTCGATGATTATTCCTTTTGATTCCATTTGATGACGATTCCATTCAATACAATTTGATGATGACTGCATTCGGTTCAATTTGATGAAGATTCCAACGGATTCCATTCGATTTCTCCATTCAGTTGAATTCGTTGATGATTCCATTTGATTCCATTAGATGATAATTCCATTCGACTCCATTTGATGATAATTCCTTTCGATTCCATTCAATGATGTTTCCATTTTACTCCATTCGATGATGAATCCATTCGATTTCATTCGATTATTCCATTCGATTCCATTCGACGATGATTCCATTCATGTCCATTCGATTACTCCATTCGATTCCATTCCATGATGATTCCATTCGAGTCCATTCAATGATTCCATTCAAGTCCATTCGATGTTTCCTTTCGATTCCATTTTATGATGATTCCATTCGAGTCCTTTCAATGATTCCATTCGATTCCATTTGATGATGATTCCATTCGTGTCCATTCCATGATTTCATTCGATTCCACTTGATGATTTCTTTCGAGTCCATTCAATGTTTCCATTTGATTTCATTCAATGATGATTCCATTCAATTCCGTTCAATGATTCCATTCGATTCTATTCCATGGTGATTCCATTCGAGTCCATGCAAAGAATCTATTCGATTCCATACTGTAATGATTCCTTTTGAGTCCATTTTATGATTTGATTTGACTCCTTTTGATGATTCTATTCGATTCCATTCAATCATGATTCCTTTCGATTCCCTTCGTTGATGATTACATTAGATTATATTTGATGATGTTTCCATTTGACTCCTTTCGATGATTATTGCATTCGATTCCATTCGATGATTCCATTCCATTCCATTTGATGATGATTCCATTCGAGTTCATGTGATGATTCCATTCGATTCTGTTTGATGATGATTTCATTCGAGTCCATTCGATGATTTCATTCAATTCCACTCGATGATGATTGCTTTCGAGTCCATTTGATGATTCCATTCGAGTGCATTCAATAATTCCATTCGATTCCATTTAATGATGATGCAATTTGAGGCCATTCAAAGTTTCCATTCAAGTCCATTCAGTGATTCCCTGTGATTACATTTGATGTGGACTCCATTCTAGTTAATTAGGTGATTCCATTAGATTCCATTTGATGATGATTCCATTCGAGTCCATTCAAAGATTCCTTTTGAGTCCGTTCGATGATTCCATTCGATTCCACTTGATGATGATTCCTTTCGAGTCCATTCAATGATTCCTTTCGAGTGCCTTCAATGATTCCATTCAATTCCATTCGATGATGATTCCATTTGAATCCATTCAGTGATTCCATTCTGTAGCATTTGATGATTCCATTCTGTTTCATTCGATGATGATTCCATTCGAGTACATTTGATGATTCCAGTTGATTCCATTCTAGGATGATTCCATTCGAGTCCATTCAATGATTCCATTCAACTCCATTCCACGGTGATTCCATTAGATCCAATTCAATGATGATTCCATTCTATTCTTTTCGATGATGATTCCATTCGAGTCCATTCAATGATTCCTTTTGATTCCATTTGATGGCGATTCCATTCGATTCCATTTGATGATTCCATTTGATTCCATTCGATGATGATTCCATTCGGTTCCCTTCGATGATTCCATTCAAGTACATTCGATGATTCCACTGCATTCCATTCGATGATTATTCCATTAGAATCCATTCGTTGATTCCTTTAGATTTAACTTGCAGATGATTCCTTTCAATTCCATTCCATGATACCTTTCGATTCAATTCGTTGGTGATTCCATTCGATTCCATTTGATGATTCCATTCGATTCCATTTGATGATGATTCCATTCGATTCCTTTTGATGATTCCATATGATTCAATTCGACGATGTTTCCATTCGTGTCCATTTGATGATTCCATTCTTTTCCATTCGATGATGATTCTATTCGAGTATATTCAATGATTCCATTTGAATCCATTTGATGATGATTCCACTCGAGTCCATTCGAGGATTCCATTTGATCCCATTCATTGATGATTACATTCGATTCCAATCTATGATTCCATTCAATTCCATTTGATGATTCCATTCAAGTACATTCAATGATTCCACTCAATTCCATTAGATGATTATTCCATTAGAGTACATTTGGTGATTCCTGTGGATTCCACATGAAAGTGGCTCCATTCGATTCCATTCGATGATACCATTCGATTCCCTTCATTGGTGATTCCATTCAATTCCATTCAATGATTCCATTCCATTCCAGAGGAACAATTACAATATAATATTGTGAACATGTAAACTTACACCCTATGTCTATTTTATGTATAAGCGTATATGATTAAAAATATAGTTAAGAATTTTTAAAACTAGTATTATAAAGTAAATATTAGTTAACTTCTGGTGACTATTTGTTAATTAAGATAAAATTATTTTGATTTTGGTGATTTTAAATAAAAAAAATAAAATTACATGAAAAAAATTCTTTAAAAAATGTTTATGACTTTAACATTGGTTTTATGACTTTATTCCACTATTTTATTTTAAGATAACCTGCCTTGTTTAAAACACTGTATTCATCTTAATTAAATTAAATTCCATTTGTAAAAAAATTAACCAATGATTTGCTCTATTGTACAGTGCGGTTATAACCTGAGTCAGTATCTCAAGATTTGATCCTCATTATCATCATCTGTGGGCCTATTTGTTTTACAAATGTATTCTCTTTTTCCATGCCTGTCACATCTCCATTGCTCTTTCATTTTTCTCTTTGTCCCTTATAGGGAGCATTGCCTATCTCGAGATTAAGCAAAAGTTGCATCTTTAAAAAGCACAATAACCTGCTCAATCTTTCTCACACAGAGAAATGTTTGTTAAGTAATTAAAGTGTAGATGATGATACAAAGAGCTTGATTAAATTAGATGCCAAAGTACCCTTGTGATTCAGAAAATGAATGGTATTTAATTTCTTTGAAATCATTAATTACTGAGTGACATTAATTAATGCCAATATTCCAGAAGTTGTTCTAGTTAGTGAAATGTATACAACATGCAAAAGATTCAAAACTCTGAAGGGCAACATTATTATATAATAAAGAAGAATTAATTCACATTAACTATTGGGGAGAAATAATTATTAAGAATTAATGACTGAGAAAATGTTTTTATTTTTTATTTAGAAAATTATTTGTTGCATGAACATTACTGCAAATTTTGCAAGAAATATAAATTTAAAGAAACAATTATGTGCACAAGATGAATTTAATAACATCTTGATATTTTCCACGATTAGAGTTTTATTTGGTAAATCTTTAAATGCACATCATCTAAAGACAATAAATGAATCTTGGAAATGTTGTAGGTAAGGGTAAATATTAGGATGCATCCAGTTACATTTACACACACATACAGTTACCTTTACATGCACATACATGCATACAGACTGATACACGTGTGTATATATACATAAAATTTACTAATTGATTTTAACTAATATTTATAAGAGCCACTTGGATTTATATATATTGTTGAACCTGAAAAATATTTATTATATACATGCTTAAAATATACACAGAAACAAATAGTAATTGCACTAGGCATTTGAAACTGTACTAAAATATAAGCTGTGAACATTTTGTGATCCTTACAAATTCTTACACTTAATAAATATTTTTATTTTTACAATATTAATATGTTTGATACCTGTGTACATTTTTTACAGTGTGTTATTTTATTTTTGTCATAGAGTCATGTCATGCATAATAACATTTCAGTCAAAGATGGATTACATATACAAAAGTGGCCCCATGAGATTATAATACATATTTTTACATACTTTTCTACGTTTAAGTATGTTTACATACATAACCTATTACCACTGTGTTCTTACTGCCTGCAGTATTCAGTAGAGTAATGTAGTACACAGCTTTGTAGCCTGGGAAAGAGAGGCTATGCCATAAAACCTAGACGTGGTAGGCTGTACAATCTAGGTGTTTGTAATAGTCTCTGTGATGTTTGCAAAATGATGAAATTGCCTATGGATACATCTGTCAGAACGTATACCTATCATTCAGTGATGTGTGACTGTAATAAAATGCTAAAGGTAGGTTTCAATGCCTTCCATAAAATTGTTGTACGGTGAAATACAAATCTCTCACCCATGGCCTGAATATGTTTGCTAACTAAGCAGATCATGGGAAGGAGAATGTGCTGGCATCGCTGGGATGATTTTCTCACACTACATGAATAATATCTACAGACTTCGTGAATATGAGCCAGTTGCATAGAGTTAAAGTAGGCATGTCTTTGCTGGGAAATTTATCAAATGGGAGTATGAAGTATTTTTAAAAGATACTTGTTTGTTTGTAGCTGGTAGGCCTACTGTGGCTCATGGCAATGGTTGAGGTTGCTAAGATTTGGTGGCAGAAGGCAAAATGAAATGGCCACTTATATGGTATGTGGTATATGGATCACTTGTTTCTGTTGAGTTACAGACTCAGCTGGCTATTTCTCCCAATGTTAGTTATTTGGAGAAAAAAAACGTCATGGTAATTTTGGGGTAACAAATACAATATTTGATGAAAGCAAATTTATTGAGGGTTAGAGAAACTACAGGATACTTTAGGCTGCAAAGTCAACACGAGACTTCTGGTCCAAATTGTGCAGAGTTTGTGTCCAGCTGCAAAGTTCAAAGGAAGAGGCCATATAAGACGATTCTCACTTCTGACACCAACTGCCAGTTCAGGGGTTTCCCCTGAACACCCTCAGTTTCAAGAATTTACTAGGAAGACTCACAGAACTCATTGAATGCCATTGTACTCATGGTTTATAATAGAGAAAAGGTAGAAATTAGGACCAATTGAAGAGACATGTCATATAAGGTGGAATCTAGGAGATTTTGAATGTTAAGTTTCCATTGTCATCAGGACATATTACCTGTCATTGTTGTACAGCAATAAACATGGAGTACTACCAACCTTGGGAGCTCACCTGATGCTAAAAAGACACTATTTAGAAAATGAAAAGACAAATGAAAGGATGAGATAAGATGACCTTCCAAATTAAAACACTGGAGAGAATAACAAACTAAACCTAAAGCAAGCAGAAGGAAGAAAATAAAAATTAGAGAAATTAATAATTTATAATAATAATATTTGTTAGTGTTGAATAATTGCTATTAATGCTTGACTAGCTTTTTTAAAAGAGAGAAATATTCACTGCCCAATTTATTCTTTGGGGCCAGTGTTACCTTGACACAAAAAATAGTCCAAATAGCATAGAAAAATAAAAATACTATAAGTATAAATGCAAAATTCCTAAAAAAAATACTAACAAATCAAATCTAGCAACATATAAAAGAATTATACACTATGACAAAGTGAAATTTATACAAGTAATCCCAGGGTGGTTTAACAGCCCAAAATCCATTAAGGTAATACATCTTATCCATAGAATAAGAAACGAGAATTGCATGATCATCTCGATTGATGATTCTGAAAAGACTTTTAACAAAATCCAAATGCTTTAATGATTAAAAATAAAAATTAAAACACAATGACCCAGGAATAGAGAACTTTCTACACCAGATACATGGCACCTGTGAAAAGACAACAGCAAGCATGCAACTTAATGGTAAAGGATGCTTTCCTGCCATGGTCAGAGATAAGACTAGTATATATAATTTGACCTCTTCTAGTCAACACTGTGCTAAAGATTTTATGCAGGGCAAATCGGCAACTAAAAAAATAAGAGTCATCCATATTGAACAGGAAGAAATAAAACTTTATTTGAAAATAACATTCTTGTATAGAGAAAATTTTAAGGAATCCACTGAACGATAGAACTAGTAAATTATTTCAGCAATATTACAGCATACAAGATAAATGTACAAAAATCAATTGCACACATCTACAATGAAAACCCCAAAATGAAATTAAGAAAACACTTCAATTTAAAATAGCATCAAAAAAAGAAATAATAATTAATTAGGAAAATGGGATACAAGAGTTTACTCTGAAAACTAAAAATTATTGTTTAAAGAATATCTAAATAATTAGCAAACATCTTACAGCCATGAATTGGAAGATTTAACATTGTAGTACTTTACAATTTGAACTACAGATTTGATGAAATCCCTGCAAGTATCCCAGGGATTCTTGTCTAGAACCTGACAAGCTGATTCTAAAATACACATGGAATAGTCAGGAACTCAAAATAGCAAAAATAATCTTGAAAAAAGAAAACATATTAGGATAATTCACAGCCCCATGCTCCAAACCTTACTGCAAAGTATCAGTAATCAAGACAACAGAATACTGATGAAGGAAAAATATATAAATTGATGGAAGAGAATTCAGAGTCCATATATAAAACTATGTGTCTATAGTCAATGGATTCTTACAGTGGTGCCATGTGCAATTCAATGAGGAAGAGACAGTCTTTGAACAAACTAGGTCAACAACGTACACGTGGATCACCACTTGCAAAATAATAAATTGGAACCCTTACCCCAAAGCATACAAAAATATTAACTCAAATGAATTAAAGACACTCATGCGAGAGCTAGAATAAAGTGAATGGGAAATTCTTCAGTATTTTGGATCTAGCAAAGGAATAGCTGTAACACCAAAAACACGAGAAACAAAATAAAAATTCGATATTTAAAATTTCTTAAAAATTATAGATATTGGTGTTTCAAAGGACAACCAAGCAAGTCAAAAGACAGCTCAGAAATTTTGAGAAGATAGTTGAAAAACACGAAACTATATGTCTGTATATATAAGTATCTTGAATATAGAAAAATTGTTTTAACTCAGTAACAAATATCCCAACTCAAAACTGATAAATGATAGGAATAGATGTGTTTCCCAAGAACATACACGAACGGTCAATAATCCCATAAAAAGATACTCAATAGCATCACTCATCAGGAAACTACAAATCAAAACCACAGTTAGATACTCTATGGCTAGAACTGGCCACTTTGGAAAATAATGTGATGGCTTCTAAATATTTTAAACATAGAATTGTCATATGACCCAGAAATTTATTCCAAGGTATACACACAGATTATTGGAAAGAGGTGTTCAAACACAAATTGTACACAAGTATTTTTAGGAGCAGTATTTAAAATAGCCAAAGGCTGAACACAACTCAAAAGTTAATAAAAATATTATTGGATAAACAAAATTTTTTATCCATGAAATTGAATATTATAGAGTTATAAAAAGAAATAAAGTACCGATTCGTGCTTGAACCTTGACAGCATTATGCCAACTGAATGAAGCTAGGCAGAAAAGACCACCTATTGTATGATTCTATTTAGATGAAAACAGAATAGGAAAATTTATAGAGACAGAAAACAGATTTGTGGTTGCTTAGGATTGAGTAGGGGATGGGTGTATAGGAGGTTAACAGCTAGAGAAGGTGGGGTTTCTTTTTGAAGTGATGAAAATGCTCTAAAATTCTTTGTGATGATGGCGCCACTTATCTGTGCATATACTAAAAGCCACTGACTTGTAGACTTGAATGTGTGCACTCTACACTATGTAAATTATATCTCAATAAATCCTTTCAGAAATACACAGAAGAGTAAGGGGTTTTGGAATGTTGCAGCTGGGAGGCAGTTTGAAATACTGAATAGGCCTCATCGAGAATGTGAAGTTTCAGTAAAGACTTGAGAAAGTTGAATGAGCTGACCAATGGATATATGGAGGGCTATCTTTCCAAGGCAAGAAATTAACTAGAGTCTTGGTCATATAGCAGCAACCTGTTGGCATGTCCAGAGGACAGTGAGGTGGCCAGGACCACTGGTAAGACCAAGGGGGAAGATATAAAAGAATTTTGGCAGTTAACATGCGGCAGATCATGATGGGCTTGCAGACCGTTGTAAGAATTGTATTTTTTAGTGTACATGAAATGGAGAGACAAGTCATTATCCCATTATCAATATTTTAATAAATTGGATCCATGAACCAAATCCAATGAGATTAAATCAATTAATAATAATATGCAAATTCGTATTAAAATTACAAGAATTACTTGCACATTTGAGAACAGGAGAGTCATGATTGTTTATCAGCAATAATAAACATTATTAATTTTAATTGTGATCAGCTAATTGAGATTAGTTGCAATGCATCATGCTTTATAATGTGACTGTCAAAAAGAAAATATGATTGTAATCTTATACTACATCTATCAATGTCTTTGATTCATAAGCCCATAGAGTAAGCCCCTAGTATTCAAATCCAACTTATGAGGCAGTGACATCTTATGCAAGTTTGCTGCTTTCTGCCACAGTGATCCTTGGTCAGCTGGCACAAATTGTTTTACAAAAGCCCCTAGGTCTAAAAATAGTTTGGATCACAATGAACACAGAAACACCTTCATCCCTTCAGAAATACCTATCAATTACTTCCAATACAGAAAGAAAAATTGACAAAGGAAATATGTAGATTGTAAAAATGCCAGTTAGCTTCCATCTACATGAAAGAAAAATGCCATTTTTATTACATTAGATCATTGTTTTACATGAGTTTTGGCATAGCACATTGTTGAACCAAGGGCAAAGAGAGATGAATTAATGAAGTCTTAAGATATCAAGAATTTGAAAGAAAAGGCAGGTCATCTTTGAAGGTTAGTGACATAGCATTCATCTTCTGTTGTCACCTTTTCCATCATTCCCTGTATGCCTGATGGACAGGTTTCACTCAAGTTCAGAGAACAGCATGCGAAGTTAGCTACCAATTAATCTTTATGAACTGAGCTGCATTTCTAGCCAGACTGAGCTTACGTTTTAGCAGGAAGCATTTTTGGGAAATGTTTATGTTAGAGTTTGCCCTTCTTGACAAGGTGAGACATGAATGTCTCCTTTAGAGACATGAATTAAGATGGGAAGATATTTGGGGGAATCATTTACTCAAACGCTAAATAATAAAGGTACACAAAGGGCAAATTATACTAGATTTATTTCCCAGTTGTTTTCTATGTCTCATGCAATTCACCTTGATTCCCTTCAATTTCTGTTTAATGTAAAAAGTGGCATTTTCATTATTTTAAGCTTCTAGCACAATGAAAGAATTTCTCTTTTTCATGAACAGGATCATAAATGAAAGGGAGGAAGTGTGTCCTATATCATATATACTGTTCAACAAAACACTGCTCCACGGCTTAAATTCAGTTTAAAAAAGAGAATTTATTGAACATCTAACACATACATAAAAGGCAGTAAAGACAAATGAGAAGAGGGCAGGATATTGAAGTATACAGACTTCAATGCTGAGTTTTATATCTTAGGAAGTTGCTCCACATTACAGAGGCTCAATTTCCCCTTATTTAGGAAGGCGATGCTAATGGGTATTGCATAGGTGTAAGTATAAAAATGTTGTATTTAAGAGAAACCTACCAGCTTGGTATAGTGCAGAAAATAAATAGATGTGACGTGAATAAGTAGTTTATTACATTTGTATGCTACCTGCGGACTAGAGGAAGCAAGAAACACAGCCACTATGCTTGATTAGCATTATAGAGATGGTACAATGATGGTTGCCAGAAGCTGGGGGGAGGAAGAAATGGGGAAGTATTGTTTAATGTGTATAGAGTTTCAGTTTTACAAGATGAAACGAATTATGGAATTGGATCGTAGGGACGGCTGCAGAATATTATGACTATATTTAGTACCACTGAACTGTACACATAAAATGGTTGACAGTACGTTTTATGTTATGTGTATTTTACCACAATAAAAAAATAAAATACCTTAGGAATATTTTCATGGAAAAGCCCACATAAAATTCATATGAATGCACATGTTTATGCATAGCTTTCTATTTTTCTCTTTTCTCTTCATATTCCAAATTCTAATTAGAGAAGGGAATCCCCTCTGTACCTCCAGGATATTCAGTAAAGACCACTGGAGGTTCATGCCTTAGTGACAGTGCTCATTTAGCTCCAAATGACCGATGGCTCTATACTAACTCCACAAAGTTTAAAGAGAAGATTTAAAGCAACAACAGACAAATACTCATCCTGAAGTTACTGAACTGCCTGCCACAACATTGTTCAAAGTTAGCCAATGAAATCAGATATTCAATAGCATAACATCAAAATACCCCAAAAAAAACTCTGACATGCAAAGAAGCCGTAAGATATATATAATTAAGATATATATTAACAGGAAAAAAATAAGTCATTTATAAATGACGGAAAAGAAGGAAATTTAAAGGTCCTTAAAGTAAATATATTTTATAAATACATATAGATAAATACATATATATGTCAAGATACTTAAAAGAAAATTGAACCTAGGAGAAAAATAGAAGTTATAAAATGAGAAATGTGACATGTATAGATGAAAAATAAATATTTGAAATAAAAATTCCATGAGATAGAATAAGTAATGGATTTTACCCTAACATCAGAAAATTTATAGAAAATATAGAAGCTTTACAAACTAAAGGACAAAGGGTAAACTAAAATAAGAAAGCCAGAAACTCACTGATACCTCAGCCAATATGCAGCAGTGTAACATACATGTAATTAATATCTCAAAAAGGATGGGTGGGGGAATTATAGGTGAATAAAGAATGGTACACTCATTCCTGAGGGCACCAAGGAGGGAGGATAGCTTTAGATTTCTAAAGGAGGGTATTATCCATTCATGAAGGTCCAACCCCATGAACAAACACCTCCCAGGAAGCCCCACCTGCAACATTGGGGATCAAATTTTAACATGAGATTGGAAGGGGCAAGCATTCAAACCATAGCAAGAGTTAAATTTCCTTTTTAAAAAAATCACTGATATGATTCCATTTCACTATACATAAAAGCCAGTATTTCAGCCTACCATTGAGTGTGCTTATAGCTCACAAAAAGGGCACTCTGTCTCGGGAATACAGATTTGCCTAGAGGTATCCTATTGCAGTCAAACAAAGAGCAATGAGGGATAGAAAATGTTAGTGATGGAGACACCAGCGCTGCTTTTTGCAAGAAACAAAGTAAAAATTTTATGGATTGGTTCCGCTAAGTTACTACAGTTTACATTCCTCTCAGGTGGAAGAATTGTTGCGTTTTTTCTCAAGATAGAAAAGCAATTCAGATAATCTGAAATCTCCACAAGAAGGATACGAAGCACAGCAGAAAGTATTCTAGGCAGGAAGTCAATCCTTTCAACTGTCTGTGCTCCATAGAAACAATTGTCTGCACTGGGAGTCATATGTGGTACAGACAACAGCCAGACCTCTGATCCTCTCATTAGTGATTTCAGAAGAAATTACCAGTCAACTGAGTAATTCACTGAGTAAAGTAAACATTTGGCACTGAAAGAGGTTAGACGGATAACTATTTGTATCACCATATTCATGAAGCTGGAATATTTTCCATTACTGGTATCACATCTGAATGGAAGATGTTGAAAGGTCTCTCATCTTGTAAGATGGATATGAAAGAATATTTTCTGAGAAATGAAATTATTAACACACCTGCGAGGTGGATGGAAGAGAAAAAAAGAATAATCAGCTTGAGTTCTTCTCCTTGATAAGACAACTCACTAAAAACATAAAGATAAAAATACAAGTTTAAAATAATTAACCAGGAGAAGTCGACTCTAGAGATTTTAAATTGCTGATAAGATTTTAATTTGCTCCAAGTTGAAAATAATTATATTGCTTGTGTTTTAAGGCACATAATGAGCAATTATATCACACATGATAGTTTCAGCAGTAAAATATGATCCGTTAACAGCTGGAACTCATAAAAGCATAGCACAATGTGAAGATGGAATTTGCTAAAATAAACCATCCGCTGAAAACTACTATTCTGCAAATTTAAAAATAAAGTTTAAATGTTATTTGTCTTATTTAGTAGGTCTGTGAAAAAAATGCACTCTTTGAAAAGTAGCTGCTACCTTAATTCTTTATATTAGACGGCTGGTTACAGTAATGCACAGTAAGGTGCTACATAGATATATTGCTAAATTTTCTGCATATACTATGTATTTGGCTTAAATTATTTGAAATTTTATAGTTAAAATAACAAATGTATATTTAAATGTTTTGACACAAATTGCAAATATACCTTTAAAAAGCGTCTTACACTCTAAATATTATTTGTCACCTATATATTTGTCTTTTCTCTATAGGAAAGTTTAAATTTTTCCCTTGAAGCTTTAATTATTTGAGTCTATAAAACAAACTGATAATGTACAAATTAACAGAAAAAAAGGTTTACAGATATGTGCACAAGTGTGCACTTGGAGTTCACATAATATATAGAAATATATCTATACAAATAATAGTATATTATACACAGATGTACAAATATATACTATACATATAAAAACTCCAGGAAAGGCAAGGTAGTCAACACGCCTATGCTGTCTTGAAGTTACAGAAAACACAGAGCTGTAGGTTGGTAAATCAGGCTTTGCGGAAGAAAGGTGATGACAAGGAAGAAAGAGGAGCCTGGCAGCAGAGGTGGGCTTGTTACATGGATGAAACCTCACAGGGAGCAGCCCTCCTCTTGGGAAGTATAGATAGGAAAAGGTTTTTAAAAATGTAAACGTGCCAGGCTCACTTAATCTTTCCTAAATCCAGACAAGGGAGTATCTCAGGGAAAGCCTGTCTATATCAATGCAGATTTTCTCTACAAATGCAAATCTCCCCAATAAACCAGCTATTCTTGTAGAAGAAGCTATCTCCAGTCTTCCGAGTAGCCATCTTGAAATATGTCAAAAAGCTGGCCAGGCGCACGCCTGTAATCCAAGCACTTTAGGAGGCTGAAGTGGGAAGATCACCTGAAGTCAGGAGTTGGAGACCAGCCTGACCAACATGGTGAAACCACGTCTCTACTAAATCCAAAAAATTAGCCTAGTGTGGTGGTGCATGCCTGTAATCTCAGCTACTTGGGAGGCTGAGCTAGGAGAATTACTTGACCCTGGGAGGCTGAGGTTGCAGTGAGCCAAGATTGTGCCATTGCACTCTAGCCTGGGCAAAAAGAGCAAAACTCCATCTCAAAAAAAATGTATTTTAGGGTAATCTTTTGAGTATCTTTACCTCCATATGTACAATAAATATTATTGTGCTTTTTAATCTTTTCTGTGGAGAAAACACAGGTGTGATTTCTAGTGTAGCTGAACATCGTTTATTTGACAATATTGCACTTGCGTGTGGGTGTGTGCGTGTGTAGCTACTCTTTAATTGTGTTCTCACATAATGATTAGGTATTAACAATTAATTCAGTCAAATGTATATTTTGCAATATTTCTCCATGTTATCATGCTTTAAATTAGTTTAATCATGCCCCTATAATGTGTACATTTTAACCTTTGACTACAGGTCTCAATCTTACTTTGGTTCCTCTATTTGAATTTATGCTAATAAAGTCCTACAGCTAAAAAAGATTATATAAACTTATCTACATTTTTACTAGTATTCTGGTGTCATTTTAAATTATGTAATGAAATCAAATTTTAATTTGCATTATTGTTATCTGAGTTAAGGATCTAAATTTTTAATTTTCTTATAAATATTACATAATTATTTCTGAACCATATATTGACTAATCTGCCCTTTATATGATGTGTATTATAAGAGCTTGGGATTGTTTCATTTGCAAAGATGAATGCTTGAGAAGTAGATATTAAATCATAACATTTCAAAATCTACTGGATAACCTAGAATTGAAAAATAGCCTATAGGTTGAAAAACTCCTGTAGTGAAGAAAGAAAATAACTAATATACAGTGACAATATAAATATTATAAGTATTTATTTTCTTATCGCCCTGAAATTTGATAATACAAACATGTAATATCTACATAACATCCATATATCAGGTCATAAAAAATCAATACATTCTTCAAAAATTTAGCATAACAGAAAATGCACTCTCTCTCCTTGATGGAATTAAATTACAAATAAAAGTAAAAATAAGTAGATAAGTAGATGGAAGTAGATGTTTAAAAACAAAGAAAAGTATTTGTTTTGGATAACATGAAATCTCAATTGACAATTCCAATATTTCCAGAACTTTGGCTGTCAACTGGTGGAGAGTTTTCCCCAGGAGACATTTGTCAATGTCTAGGGTTATTGTGGGGATGTCAAGACTGGTGGAGGTGTGAAATTTAGAGGTCGAACGAAACACCTAGCATTGCTAGGGCAGCCTCCCACAACAAAGAATCCTCCGGTCCTAAAGGTAAGTAGCACCAAGGTTGAGAAACCATAATCTAGGCAGTAAACACTACGTAGCTATTCCAAGTGCTCAGGAAAACACATAAGTGCCCTCGAGGGGAAAAGTGTAAACATTTTAATTGCTGTACATGATGACACAAATCCATGTTGTTAATGTAAGTGGAAGGGGCTGAAGCACAAAACATAATTCAAAGAGTTTACTTGAGCCACAATGAGGACAGCTGCCTGGAAGAAACAGACCCAAGTATACTTGGATATGAACTCCCTTTGGAGCTTTGCAACAAGCAGATCCTTAAAGGCAAAAAGGGGTCCAGAAGTGGGACGATGCAAACAGGTTTGTCACAAATTCTCATTGGCTTATGGAAATAACATTTATTAGTGACTGGCTATACACTGTTACACTATTATTGGGTGTGGAATATAGTATCTGGTGTGGCGTTATTGGTTAATTTATAGCTACTGTGGCAACAGCAAGCAGCCTAGATTAACACACAGCTCAAAGCGGAGCAGGACAGAACTGCTGTCTCATTTGAATATCTCTCTGGGCCTGATTATTTAAAAGGACTTGCATTTCTCACATGAAAGTTATTTTCTTTTCTCAATACCCATAAATGAGAGTAAACAGACATAAAATAGATCTTTTCCAGGATGAAGTAAATGGAATGAAAACCAAAACCCAAGCTGACCAGAAATCATAGAGGGAAGAAAAGGTTATAAATATATGGCTTTGTCAAAGTGATTTTAAGTATTAGGAATCAGTTAAATGTTGGGGGATTTTGTCTGAGAATGGGCTAAAGGAGAATGTCCCTTTAGCCTCTGAAGCTTCCCTGAAAATCACTATTAGGAGGCAGACAAATAATAGAAAAGGCATACAGGTTTCTGCAATGTGTGTACACTGGAGCCCTTAGAACGAAGACCCAGACACACGATGCGTGCAGAAGCTTATCTACCACATGAAGTTTACAGAAAGAATGGGGTCTTGGATCACAGGGAAAAAAAAAAGGTTATGTGAGAAAACGACCCTGGCTAGCAAAAGTGGACTTATTACATAGGTGGAAACTCACGGGGAGCAGTCCTCAGAGAGAATAGACAGAAAATGTTTCTTTCAGACCTTTGGAGACCTCAGACTCTCAGTTAAGCTTTCCTAGATCCAGACAAGGGGGCAGACCTCAGAGAAAGCCTGGCTGCATCAAGGCAGATTCTCTACTGATGCAAATCTCCCCAAGACAGCTTTGCAGCTAAGTTTGCATTTCCAGCCCTTCTCAATAGCCATTTTGAAATTTATCAAGGAAATATATTTAGGGGTAAAATATATTAGTTTCCTTCATACAGCTGTAAAACATACAAGAATAATTTTTGTCAATGTCTACTACAAATCCATTATAGCCGTAATTATAAAACCCACCAGATATTGAAGAAAAAATATGTAGAGTACATCAATTAAAAATGTTGATACTAAAATGTCAAATAAAATTAAAATAATATCCAATAATGTTTGAAACAGTAAGACAATAAATTGGCAAAAAAAAAAAATAAAACAAATATCCGCCTTGGGGATGAAAGTGTGTTTCCAAATTTGGTAATCCAATAATATTAATAATCACATTGATTAGTCCAAATTAAAAATAAATAGGGGATTCTCAGTACATGCTAAAATATATTTGTTAAAAGGCAATATTCATGTCTTTAAAGATTTTAAATGCTATAAAGAGTCTGATATTCTATATGCAAACATGAGTATGTCCATTAGAAGAAGAGAGGCCTGATTTTCATGTTACTACATGGAGATAGATAAGTGGATAGATTAATTTGCATATGCATAGAAAAAGCATAAAATAGAAATTTAATATCATATTAAAGGAAATTTAATTCAACAATAAAATAATTCAAGGTAAAATTTTAAATATTTTTAACAGGTACATTATTAATATTAGATAATATTTATAATTGTGCAAATATTCAATGCTAAAATAAGACACAAGATCTAAACTTCAGTATTAAAACTAGTATAAATATTTGCTTGCTTATACAAGGAAAATTGAAGCTCAACCTAAAATTATATAGGAAATAAAGGAAAAATTTTAAGGGAGCTCTTTAATAACATAAACATATATATATATATACACACACACACACATATATTATGTATATATGTTATATGGGATAGATATAGATTTAACATGTTATATCTATATTTGTATCTATAACTACAGCTGTATGTATCTACATTTCTATATATTTACTCAGTGATATAAATATAGACTGGAATAAATATAAAGACACATATGATTCTTGGATAAAAAGGATTTAGTATCATAAAGACAAATTCTTTCCAAATTCACTTATGAATTCACAACAATATAAAGTTTCATTAGTATAATTTAAAATTTTTAAATAAATTCCAAGATTCATTTAAAGGAATATACATGTATACAAGCAGTCAAGAAAGAAGCAAGAGTGCACTAAACTAACTTGCTATTAAAATACATTTTTAAACTTAGTAACTAAAACTGAGTAGTACTGATTTGGAGTACTGGAATTTAGGTATATGGGATCTCAAAAGCACAGAGCTCAAAGGAGACCCCTGTATGCACGAGAGCTTAGGATGTGCTTTAGAAGGCATTACCAAACCACGGGCAAAGTTACTTTAGTGTCTTAGCCTTACTAGGTTTGAAAAGCCAGAGAAAAGACTCAAGACCACCATATAAGAGCAAAACAAAAGGACAGGGAGAGAATGTGAAGATATTGAAATATTGTACATAAAGCTGTATAAAACATCCTTTAAAGAAAATGTAAAGTTTAGGATATACATCAAAATCAGCAGAGCCAATAAATAAATAAATAGGCATTGAAAAATAACAAGAGAAAATTTAAGTGGATTTCTAAAATATATTGACACTTATGATTTTTAAAATATGTTGAAGAAATCCCGTATTTCACAGGGCAGCCTTTCACAACACACATACGTTAGGACATAAAGGTCCTTCTGTTTTTAATTTACTAGTGTTTATAGGGTTACAAATGTCTTCTACCCTTGTCTTTTGTCTGATGGTGCAAAAAATTTTCATAAGCATGTATTTCTGAATGCCTGATAGATTGACGTATATAATAAGCTGTTAGTATTAAAATATGTGATGGAAAATGCATCCAATCTTCTCACTGTTTACATAAATTCTAGGTTTGTCCTATTTACCTGAAGCACGTATGGAGCGAATTCTTACCTTTTAAAATTGCCATGGCATTCACATTGAACATAAGTTGAACTCTCTCATATGGTAGCTGGGTTCACATTCCCTTGACAATTTCCAGTTCTAACCCTCACTGTTCCTCAGTGAGGCTGGCCCAGATATTGACCCTACACAGTTGCCCCCTCCTGGTGACTACCAGCTATGGAACCGTTGGATACAACCTACCTGACTCACCCCACAGAGCTCACAGCGCACATGGACAGACCCCACACGCCAGAGTGACCTGCTCGGTTGCAGCAGGAGTCAAGAAATGTGCCTGCTGGCACTCACCCCACTGACTAGTGCCCCGTGGAAAACTTATTTGGGTAATGTTCTGGGCCCAATAAAGGCTGGAGTCCCACAGACCCCTTTTCTCTCTCCTGCTCCCCACTCATCTTCCCCATTTTGTTCAGCCCTATGAGGTGTGCTACTGTATTAGTCCATTTCCACACCGCTGGTGAAGACATGCCCAAGACTGGGTAATTTCCAGAAGAAAGAGGTTTAATAGACGCACAGTTCCACATGGCTGGGTAGGCCTCACAATCATGGCGCAAGGTGAAAGGCATGTCTCACATGGCAGCAGACAAGACAAGAGAGCTTGTGCAGGGAAACTCCCCTTTATAAAACCATCAGATCTTGTGAGACTTATTCACTATCAGAAGAACAGCATGGGAAAGACCTGCCCCCATGATTCAATTACCTCCCACCTGTTCCCTCCCACAACATGTGGGAATTCAAGATGAGATTTGGCTGGGGACACAGCTAAACCCTCTTCTCAGCTACTCTCTTTTCTCTGGATCTGTGAGTAATAAACCTACTTCTGTGATTTCCCATGTTTGGTTCTGTGGCCTCCATGGGTTTGAGCTGACCTATACTGGAACCTAACTGTCCTCCTGGCCAAGGTCTCTGAGAGTGGCTCTTGTCACAAATACACAGGACACAGGTCAGGCAACAGTCACCAGGCATCTCCTAGTCTCAACAGTTCTGTGAGAGGGAGGCCTGGTCGTGGGATGCACACCTGGCCACTGCTGGGGTAAGGAAGTGTCCTGTGAAAGGCACATGTTAAGCATCCACAACCCCCTTACCAGAACCCCAGAAAGGAAGGGCTCCAATTGACAGTCACTCTCCAGAGACAAACCTCAAGCCCTAACTGGAGGAAAAGAAAAAAATGTAAAAAGTTGAATTTATCTTACTATTTCAATGATCCGGTAAAGACATTCTATGCCTGTACACCACATATTTTCTTCAATGGTGGATTTATTTTAGATAGAATTTTATGTCTGGCTTTCACTTTAGCCTGGTCCGTACCTCAAGCATAAGGTAAAGATTTTCCATGGGTTCTTTTCTGGTACTACTACCTGCCAGTGTGGGGTCATGTCCTAGTCTATCTTGAGGGAACCCCCCTGTTCATTATTTTCAGAGTGAGACTGTTAAGTTTTGATTTCCCTGGACAACTTCACTGCATGACTTTTAATATGATTTTTAAATATACCCTTTACTGGACAATAAATTATATAGCTATCTGAGTAAGAGATATGGTCAAGAAGAGGCATTGCCTTATTTCGCTTTTCTCTTTGGTGAACTCGCATATGTTCTCCTCACCTGACAGTCACCTCTAAACCGTATTGTTCCAAGACAACAAACAGAACTCGAGTGTGTATCTTTCACCACTGGATTTGTGTTTGCTCCGTAAAGCTTCATGCTTAATAGGGTTTCTGTTAGCATTTTCTCTATTTTTTTTTCCCATAAAGTATCACAGGCCTTCTTCATAGGGAATTATGGGTGATTTCCTTCAATCTGCATCATATCAAGTTGAGGTTCATGTTGATGGAAAGTAAAACATACATTGAAGATATCAGTAATGATGTTTTCCCCTCCTTTTTAGCACCTGTGCTTGTGATACAAGCACATTTTAATACAATTGTAGTCTCATGATTTGATTATTCCTATGAGGAAAATAACATTTTTAGATAAAATATCTGAGTTTTATGAGGCCTTTAGTATGTGATGTGATAGAATATCAGAAGACCATACTTTTTTCTAGTTTTCCTTGCAATTCTATCATTGTTTCATCTTTACTCCTACCAGAGTAATTTTCCAAAATAGATATCTTGTCATTCTTCCTGTTGTTATCAGTAAATAAGTGAAATGAAAGCTAGATTATATAATTTATGTAGAACAAGAAAGTAGAATTGAATCTATATTCATTAATGAGATTGACCAGTCAATTACACAGATAGGCATTTTACATTTTGAAGATCATATGGACCCATTGTCAGAAATATTATTATTTATGTCTATATGGACATCAAGTGTGCATATTTACATAGAAATCAATGAGAGCTGATTTTTATTTCTATTATATATATTTCTTGAGTTAGGGTCTTGCTTTTTTGCCCAGGCTGGAATGTAGTGGTGCAATAACTGCTCACTGCAACCTCAGCCTCCCAAGTTCAAGCCATCCTTCCACCTTGGCCTCCCAAATAGCTAGGACAACAAGTGCACATCACCATGCCCACATTTTTTTTTTTAACTTTTGATAGAGACTGGGTCTTGCTATGTTGCCCAGGTTGGTTTTGAACTCCTGGGCTCAAGGAACCCTCTCATTTGAGCCTCTTCAACTGCTGGTATTACAAGCATGAACCACCATATGGGCTGGAAGCTGATTTTTAAAATACTGAGATCATATAGATGACAGCACCTGAAAAATAGACAACACCAAGCTTTATGTTGAGAGGTGTGAGAGTATCAATATTGTTGTGGGTATTTGGGAGGAAATCATTAGTAAAACCAGTAAGATAAAGCTCTTGCTTTAAACTTTGGCTTTAGTGTAACAAATGTTCTATGGAGTGAGAGTATGTATGTAACCATGCTATGCCCATTCACAGATGCAGTAGAGGGAAGAATTTCTCAAAGACAACTGTTCTAAGACTCAAATTAAACCGTACTGGGTTTGAAAAAAGGAAGTCCAGGAATTACCAAATATTTTAGATATCAGATAAAAGAGAATGCCAGGTATGCGATGATAATCAGCAATGGTTGTTCACACAATACATCAGCTCATTATTTGAATTAGCTTTTGAATTACAAGGACAAATGGATCAAGTCTAGATTCTTTAGTAGATAAATCTTATTAGGCTGAGATGTGTTTTCCCCTGGTTTTCCACAAGGAGATTACAAATTTGCAAACCTCAGCTGCTCTCATTTTATGCTCTCACCAAGCCGAAAGCTGAAGTTCAACAATCAGTGTGTCTAAGTGTCACTGATTATATACCATTTTGTAGTTTCAGCTATCTTTCCAACTTCCTAAATCATCACCTTCATTTGATCTTGTTTTTTTCCACTATCAATCACTTCTTTATTGACCATATAAAGAATATAAGTAAGTTCTTGTTTTGTTATTGTTCATTTTAGTCTAATTTCATCAAAATATCACAATCTTTTAACTTCATTTTAATTTCAAAGATTAAATGAAATCTACATAGATATGCGTGTAAGATTTGCATTTGCATTTTTTGGCATCAATTTGCTATCCTCCCTCATGCACATAGAGATCATTTCCATGTACGTGATTGCAAACATCCAAGTGCAGTATTCAAAGCAGTTCTAAATTATGGTTCTCATTTTCATGATACAATTACAATATAAACTTCCTCTTGCTGCTGTAACCAATTACCACAAACTTCATATCTTATAATAAAGTGACCGTTAATCCTACAGTTCTGTAGTTCAGAAGCCTTAAATGAAACTCACTGGGCTAACATCAAGTTTTGGACAGGGCTGCATTCTTTCTGTGGGCTATGTGGCAGAATTTATTACTTGATTTTTTTCAGCATCCGGAGGCCACCTTTATTCCTTGGAACATGACCTCATTCTTATATCCTATTTTTCTTTTTTATTTTTTTTTGAGATGGAGTCTCCTTCTGTCACCCAGGCTGGAGTGCAGTGGCATGATCTCAGCTCACTGCAACCTCTGCCTCCCGGGTTCAAGTGATTCTTCTGCCTCAGCTTCCTGAGTATCTTGGACTACAGGCACTTGCCAACATGCCCAGTTAATTTTTTGTATTTTTAGTAGGGATGGGGTTTCACCATGTTAACCAGGATGGTCTCGATCTCCTGACCTCGTGATAAACCCATCCCAGCCTCCCAAAGTGCTGGGATTAGGCATGAGCCACCATGCTGGGTCCTCATTCTTGTATGTTAAAAGTCAGTGATGTTGAGTAATTTCTCATGCCACCACCTCCAAGGTTGCCTTTCTTCTGCCTTCTTCTTTCACTTATAAGGAATTTTGTCATTTCATTGATCCCACCCATTTAAGACAATCTCTCTATCATTTTTCCGCAACCTTAATTTCACTTGAAATCTAATTTCACACTGCCGTGCAACCTAACATATTTGTATGTTAGACTCTGGGAATTAGGACATGAAATTTTTTGGGAGGCCATTCTTTTGCCTACAGCAGACATAATCTGTTTACCTGCAGATTAAAGCATTCTTTATTTTTCTGTCTCCCTCTCTTAATTTTTTAAAATATTATGAATTGTAGTAAAGAGAAAGAAAGAAAAGAAAACAAAGAAAGAAAAAGAAGGAAGGAAAGAAGGAAGGAAGGAAACAAAGAAAGAAAGAAGAAAGAAATGAAGGAGGAAATGAGGGAAGGAAGGGAGGGAGGGAAGGGAGAAAGGCAGGAAGGGAGAAAAAAGAAAGAATGAACACAAGAAAGAAAGAAAGAAAGAAAGAGAAAGACAGAGAGAAAGAAAGAAAGAAAGGAGGAAGGGAGGAAGGAAAGGAGGAAGAGAGAATGGTAAAAGGGAGGAAGGAAAAGAGACAAAGAAAATAAAGAGGCAAAGGAAGGAAGGAAAAAGAGGAAAGGAAGGGAGGGAGGAAAGAAGAAAAGGAGGGCGGGAGGAAGGGAGAAAAAAGGAAAGAAAGGACGAACGTGAGAAAGAAAGAAAGAATATGAGAAAAGAAGGAAGAAAAGGGAGGGAGAAATGAAGAGAGGGAGGAGGGAAGGAAGAATAAGAGGAAAGAAAGAAAAGGAAAGAAGGAAGGAAGGAGAAAAAAGAAAGAAAAGAAAGAAAGGAAAACAAAAAAGAAAAGAAAAGGAAGAGGAAAAGAAGAAAGGAAGGAAGAAGGTAAGGGAAGGGAAGAGAAGAGAAAGGAAGATGGAAAGAAAGAAGGAAAAACGCAAATATTAGAAATTCTGGGTTTGTTAAAGAATATGCCATACTGTTTTTTTTTTTTTTCACTTGAAAGGAAAGAGTATCTGCCAATGAAGATTGGATGTCTTGTTGGTGATATTGTTGTTCTTATCTTCCACATGATTACTGAGTTTGTGCCTAGTGTTTCCATTACTAAGACAAAAGTGTTGAAGTCTGCAAATATAATTTTGGATTTTTGTAGTTCACCTTTGATTTCTTTCCGTTTTGCCTCATGTACTTGGAGGTTCTGTTGTTAGCTGCATACCCTAATTAGTAGGATGTTTACATCTTCTTGAGAATTGACTATTCTATTATCTATTATCTCTCATCTCTGATACTATTTCTTGTTCCAAACTCTGTTGTGTCTAATATCAGTGTAGTCCTTCCAAAGCCTTATTTTAGTGTTTCCATGATATGGCTTTCTCCATATCGTGATGATAACCTATTTATATCTCTATATATTTGGAGCAAGATATAAAATTTAGACTTGATATTTTAAAGATTTTTCAAGATGTAATTCTTATTTCTTTTTGTTCTATTTGACATTCTCTGAGTTTCCTATATCTGAAGTTGGATTTTCCATCACTTATTTTAGAATATTTTTGGCAGTTATTTTGAAAAATATTTCTTTTGCTCCATTATTTTTCCCTCTTTTCTTTTTGGGATTTCAATCATAACTAGAGTAG
This sequence comes from Homo sapiens, assembly GCF_000001405.40. Classification (NCBI taxonomy): domain Eukaryota; kingdom Metazoa; phylum Chordata; class Mammalia; order Primates; family Hominidae; genus Homo; species Homo sapiens. Next base: position 34,460,168 of record NC_000016.10, on the reverse strand, counting down.
GTAATTTGATCTCAGTCTTATGCAGGTAATTTTTCTCAGGGTCTCAGGAATGTAGCCTTCTCACACTTCTGTTATTTTCCTGGCTGTGTTGGTGAGCTCAGTGATAGTCCTCCTTCACCTTCAAGAGCAGTTTTTTCTTGTTTTTCCTGTTTTCATACTCCCAGCATCAGGAGTATTCTAAGTGTGGCCGTTTTTGTTGTCTTCCCCTACATATTAAGCGGAATATCTTGGTCTATTTGGACTCTTATAACAAAAGAACATAAACTGGGTGACTAAAAAACAACAGATATTTCTTTTTTCACACTTCTTGAGGCTGTAAGTTCTCAGGCCAAGATGCTTACAAATTCAGTGTTGATGAGAGCCCATTTCATGGTTCATAGATGGTGCCTTCTTTCTATGTCGTCACATAGTGGGAGGCACACAAGAACTCCGTTGAGCTTCTTTTAAAAAGGCACTAATCCCATTCATAAGGGCTCGGCCCCCAAGACCTCGTCACCTCCCAAGTGTTCTGCTCTCCCTGATCTGTGTCATATACAGACTCTCTTGGATTCCTTACCAATTGCTTGAGAGATCACAGTGGGTTTGTGGGGAAAAAGTTTTCAAGATGATGGATCTTTCCCAACTTCTGCAGCTGTCAGCCATCTCCCAATCTCACCAGCCCCACTTTGTCTTTAGGAATTTATTGATTATTGTAGCTTTACTTGTCATAGTGGTGTCTATTTGCATCTTTCCTATGTAAGTGCATCTGTCCTTTTTCTCCTTGCAGGTGCAAGTACTCAGGAGTACACTGTTGTTACTAATTACTCAGTATTGGTTGGTACATTGTCAAAGATCAAAAAACATTTTTAAAGATAAAAAAGTTCTTGGAGGTTGTGTAATGAAGGGTTAATTCTGCAGACATGGCTTTCCAAAACCTTGCGCATTCCAAAGGTCTTCAGGACTGTCCCTTGAGAATCTCCTGGGAGATGATAACCTATGAGCCCTTGGTATATGCTGCCTGATGAGAATCTTTGTATACCTGAAAACGTAGGTCATATCAAATAACTGATGCTAACAACGTGATTTCTTGTGAGCACCTTTTTCTGTATGCCTATGACTTTGTGTAATGCCATATTAATATGACCTCTCTTAGGGCATAGGGAGGTTGGGAACTAAATAGCTAAGTTCAGTCACGGGACGCTCGATGCATATGTGGTGGAATCCTAATAAAAACCCTGGACTCAAGACTGACTGAGCTTCCCTAGTTGGCAAGAAGTTCACACATGTTGTCTCACACCATTGTAAAGAAAATTAGTCAGTGTGAAGTCCCCACTATGAAACGACACCTGTAAGCTCATATCTGGTTTGTCCTGGACTCAACTTTATGTGCTTTTATGCTTCTGATTGTTTTAATCTGGTTTATTTCACTGTTAGAAACTATAAGCACAGAAAAAATCAGCTTTCTTGAGTTATGTGAATCATTAAACCAAAGGGGGACTTGGGGACCCCCAACAGAAAGTATATATGTTCTTAAAAAGAAAAAGAATACTGGCTATAGCAGATATTGCTGATGACTTGTCTTGTATGTCCTGGACTCAATGTGTTCACGTGGAATTCACCTGTTTCCAGCTAACTGAGAGTTCCCTACATCATGCCTCTCTTTCTGATTTTTGGGCCTGCCTGCAAGCTTCTTGAGGCTAACCAGTGCTTCTCAACCACACATAGGAACAAAGAAGGAGTTAGGGGTGGGGAGTTAATTATTCTAAGGCAATCCTTAAGCAATAAGAGATGGGGATTCCAGCATCCCCATCTCTTTGTAAAGTTACTTTGACACAATCTCCATACCTCCATCATTATTGAGCACATAGCAGTAATTATTCATTCACACTGGCTTCGTGTTCTGTTTCATTTTCTCCACTTCTGTGCTTTCTCACTCAATTTCTGATTAAAGTATCTGACCCCATATATTTGTTTCATAGTCTATGTTTGAGGGAATCCAGAGCCAAGACAATAACAATGGGAGCTTTGCAATGAGGGAGGGTGAGTATAATCATCAGAAGTTTACCTACCTCACTGGGAACATGAAGGCCTGGAGAGCTTGCTGTTTCAATGAGAGAAACATGTTGAATCTCAGTTGAATACATATATATATATACGTGTGTATATATATATATACACGTGTATATATATATATACACATATATATACACGTGTATATATATGTGTATATATATATACACGTGTATATATACACGTGTGTATATATATATATATATATATGTGCAATAAGACGTGCCCTTTACTTATATCAAAGGAAAGTGCTCTTTACCTCTCTTTGTTGTTGTGTTTTTATCACTATTGCCTAAACAAGCAGAATATCATACCCAGGATTTAAAGCCCTCGCTGCAAGATTTTCAAGCTCATGTTTTTATCATAAGTCACTCTGCTTCCATGGGTTTTAAATCTAATCCTCATTCCTCTGCTTTTACACCAGAGAATTCATCACTGACTTATTTTCGACTCACCTCCTTATAGAGCTGTCAAGTACACAATTTCTGCTGTGACCTTTCTCTTAGAGTTCCGTCATATAGCCTCTCACTAGATATCATTTCCTCTTATCTTTCCTAATAATGAATTGTCAGTTAAAACTCAATATTTTTAAGATTGAACTTACTGTCTGCACACACACCCACACACACCATTATTGGTGTATTCTCATAGCCTTGAAACACTAATGTCACGTTGATGTCTGCCTTTTCTTTCTCTGCTACCTCATTCCTCATCCTTAGATTATTCTAAAAGATTCAGTTAGATCAAGTTGGCTAATTATATTTATAAGATCCTCTCTATCCTTACCAACTTTTCGTTTAACAAAATTTAAAAATTTCTGGCAGGAGACTGCTGAAATCCCCAGGGATGACTGTGGTTTTACTATTTTACCTTTCAGTTTTAATAGGTTTAATATTATGTATTTTGAAGTAATGCTATTGTGTGCATACATATTTCTTATTTACATGACTTCTTGGTGTATTATCCCCTTTGTCATTTGAAATGTTATTCTTCATCCCCAGTGATATTTCCTGTTCTGATGTCTACTTTGCTCATCACAGTTTTAGGGGGTTTTGGTTTGTTTGTTTTTCTATTTTTTGGTTCAACTAAGTTTCTTATAAATCTGTTCGATTCCATTTGATGATTCCATTTGATTCCATTCGAGGATTCCACTCGATTCCATTCAATGATGATTGCATTCGAGTCCATTCAATGATTCCATTCGAGTCCATTTGATGATTCCATTCGATTCCATTCAATGATGATTCCATTAGAGTCCATTCGATGATTCAATTTGATTCCATTCGATTCCATTCGATGATGATTCCATCAGAGTCCATTCGAGGATTCCATTTGATTCCATACGATGATGTTTCCATTCGAGTCCACTCGATGATTCCATCTGATTCCATTCAATGATGACACAATTCGAGTCCCTTCATTGATTCCATTGGATTCCATTCTATGATGACTGCATTCAGTTCCATTCAATGATGATTCCAACATATTCCATTCGATTTCTCCATTCGATTCCATTCCTTGCTGATTCCATTAAATTCCATTAGATGATGACTCCACTTGATTCCATTCCATGATGATTTCATTAGATTCCATTCGATGATGATCCAATTCGATTCTATTGAATGATAATTCTATTCGATTCCATTGAAAGATTCCATTCGATGGTGATTCCATTAGTGTCCAATCGATGATTCCATTCGATTCCGTTCGATGATGATTCCATTTGAGTCCATTCGATGATTCCATTTGATTCCATGCGACGATGATTCCATTAAGTCCATTCAATGATTCCTTTTGATTCCATTAGATGATGACTGCATTCGGTTCCATTAGATGATAATTCTAACGGACTCCATTCGATCACTCCATTCGATTCCATTCATTGATGGTTCCATTCGATTACATTTGATGGTGATTCCATTTGATTCCATTCGATGATGATTCCATTCGATGCCAGTCGATGATGATTCCATTGTATTCCATTCGATGATTCCATTTGATTGCATTCGATGATGATTCCTTTCGGGTCCATTCGATGATTCCATCTGTTTCAGTCGATGGTGATTCCATTAGGTTATTCCATTCAACTCCATTTGATGTTTTCTTTCAATTCCACTCAATGTTGATTCCATTTGAGTCCATTCAATGATTCCATTCGAGTGCATTCCATGATTTCATTCGATTCCATTCGATGATGATTCCATTCCATTCGATTAGAAGATTGCATTTGATTTCATTCGATGATGATTACATTAGATTCCATTTGATGATTCCATTCGAGTCCATTCAATGATTCCATTCGAGTCATTTAAATCATTCCATTTTATTCCATTCGATGATGACACCTTTTGAGTCTATTCAATGATGATTCCATTTGATTCCATTCGATGATTCCATTGGATACCATTCTTTGTTTTATTTTGATTAGTTTTGATGATGATTCCATTCAGTTTCATTCGATGATCCCATTTGATTCTAATCGGTCATGTTTCCATTCGATTCCATTTGAAGAAAATTCCATTCGATTGCATTGATGATGATTCCATTCGACTCTATTATATGCCAATTCTATTCAATTCCATGAGATGATGATACCATTCGATTCCATTTGATGATTAAATTAGATTCCATTCGATGATGATTCCATTCAAGACCATTCGAGGACTCCATTCAATTCCATTCAATAACGATTCCATTCGAGTCCATTTGATGATTCCATTCAAGTCCATTCAGTGATTCCATCTGATTCCATTCAATGAATCCAGTCAATTCCATTGTATGATGATTCCATTCATTTCGGTCCGATGTTGATTCCATTCGATTCCATCCAATGATTCCATTCGATACCATTTGATGATTCCAATCAATTCCATTCAATGATTCCATTCGAATCATTGAATGAGTCCATCCATTTCAATTTCATGATAATTCCATTCGTTTCAATTCAATGGTGTTTCCATTCGATTCTATTCGATGTTGATTCCATTAGTTTCCATTGGATGATGATTCCATTCAAGTCCATTCGATGATGATCACATTTGATTTCATTCCATAATTCTATTCGATTCCATTCAATGATGATTCCATCTGATTCCATTTGATGATTCCATTCGAATCCATTCGATGATGATTCGATTTGTTTCCATCCGATGATGATTCCATTCGATTCCATTCGATGATGATTGCATTCGTTTCCATCCGATGATGATTCCATTCAATTCCATTCGATGATTATTCCATTCGGGTCCAATCGATGATTCCATTCGATTCCATTCCATGATGATTGCATTCGTGTCCATGGATTATTCCATTCCATTCCATTCGATGATTCCATTCGAGTCCATTCAAAGATTCTCTTCGATTCCATTTGATAATTCCGTTTGATTCCGTTTGATGTTCATTCCATTGGAGTCCATTCGATGATAATTCCATTCGATTCTATGTGATTATTCCATTCGATACCATTTGAAGATGATTCCATTCGAGTCCATTCGAAGATTCTCTTCGATTCCATTCAATAATTCCATTTGATTCTGTTTGATGTTGATTCCATTGGAGTCCATTCGATGATAATTCCATTCTATTCTATGCGATTATTCCATTCGTTTCCATTTGAAGATGATTCCATTCGAGACCTTTCGATGATTCCATTCAATTCATTCGATGATGATTCCATTCAATTCCATTTGATGATTCCATTAGATTCCATTTAATGATGATTCCATTCGATTCCATTAGATGATGATTCCATGCAATTCCATTCGATGATGACACCTTTCGTTTCCATTCGATGATGATTCCATTCGGTTCCATTTGATGATAATTCCTTTAGATTCCATTTGATGACGATTCCATTCAACTCCAATTGATGATGATTCTTTTCGATTCCATTCAATGATGATTCCATTTGATTCCATTTGATCATGATTCCATTCAATTCCATTCGAAGATGATTCCATTCAATTCCATTCGATGATGATTCCGTATGAATCCATTCGCTGATTATTCCATTCGATTCCATTCATTGATGATTCCATTCGATTCCATTCAATGATGATTCTCTTCTATTCCATTCGATGATTCCGGTCGATTCCATTCGATGATGATTCTATTAGATTCCATTCGATTGTTGCATTCGATTCCCTTCGATGATGATTCCTTTGAATTCCGTTCGATTATGATTCCGTATGAATCCATTTGATGATTATTCCATTTTATTCCTCTCTATGATTCCATTCAATTCCATTCAATGATGATTCCAATCGAGTTTATTGATTATTCCATTCCATTCCATTCAATGATTCCATTCGAGTCCATTTGATGATTCTATTCAATTCCATTTGATAATTCCATTCAATTCCATTTGATGATAATTCCATTTGAATCCATTTGATGATTATTCCATTCGATTCTATTTGGTGATTCCATTCAATTCCATTTGATAATGATCCATTCGAGACCATTTGATGATTCCATTCAATTCATTTGATGATGATTCCATTCAATTCCATTCAACGATTCCATTCAAATCCGTTTGATGATGATTCCATTCGATTCCATTCGATGATGATTCCATGCGATTCTATTCGATGATGACTCCGTTCGGTTCCATTTGATGATGAATCCATTCGATTCCTTTCAATGATGTTATCATTCAGTTACATTCGATGATGATTCCGTTGGATTCCATTCCATGATGATTCCATTGTATTCCATTCGATGATGATTCCATTTGATTCCATTCGATGATTCCATTCGATTCCACTTGATGATGATTCCATTCGATTCCATTCAATGATTCCTTTTGATTCCTTTCGATGTTTATTCCATTCGAGTCCATTCGGTGATTCCTTTTGATTCCTATTGAAGATGATTCCATTCAATTCCATTCAATGATACCATTCGATACCATTCGTTGCTGATTCCATTTAAGTGCATTCCATGATACCATTCGATCCCATTCAGTAATGAATCCATTTGATTTCACTCGATGATTCCATTCAATTCCATTCTATGATGATTCCATTCGAGTCCATTTGATGATTCCATTTGACTCCATTTGATGATGATTCCATTCAATGATTCCATTCAATTCTATTCGATGATGATTCCATTCGATATCATTCGATGCTGATTCCATTCAATTCCATTCGATTATTCCATTTGATTCCATTCACTGATTCCATTCGATTACATTTGAGGATGATTCCTTTCGATTCCATTCGATGATTCCATTCAATTCTATTCGATGATGATTCCATTCGATTCCATTCGATGATGACTTCATTCGATTCCATTTGATCATTACATTTGATTCCATTCGATAATGATTGTGATCGATTACATTAGATGATTCCATTCGAATCCATTCGATTATTCCATTTGATTCCATTTGATAATGATTCCATTCGAGTCCATTCAATGTTTCCATTCGAGCACATTTGATAATTCCATTTGAGTCCAATCCATGATTCCATTCGAGTCCATTCGATCATTCCATTTGAGTTCATTCGATGATGATTCAATTCGAGTCCATTTGATAATTCTTTTTGAGTCCATTCGATGATGATTCCATTCAAGTCCATTCGATGATTGTATTCGATTCCATTCAATGATGATTCCATTCGAGTCCATTCGATGATTCCATTTCATTTCATTCGATGATGATTCCATTCAATTCCATTGAATGATTCCATTCGATTCCATTTGATGATGATTCCGTTCAATTCCATTCGATCATGATTCCTTTCGATTCCATTCGATGATGCTTCCATTTGATTTCGTTAGATGATTCTATTTGATTCCATTCGATGATGATTCCATTCTATTCCATTAGATGACTCCATTCCATTCCATTCTATGATGATTCTATTCGACTCCATTTGATGATGATTCCATTTGATTCCATTTGATAACGATTCCATTCATGTCCATTCGATGATTCCACTTAATTCTATTGAATGATGATTCCAAATGAGTCCGTTAGATGAATCCATTTGATTCCATTGGATGATGATTCCTTTTGATGCCATTTGATGATTCCCATCAATTTCATTTGATAATGATTCCATTCGATTCCATTCGATGATTCCATTCAATGATGATACCATTCGATGCCGTTTGATGGTTCCATTCGATTCTGTTAGATGATTCCTTTCAATTTCATTCAATGATGATTCCATTCGAGTCCATTCAATGCTTACATTCGATTACATTCGATTCCATTCAATGATGATGGCATTCGAGTCCATTCAATGATTCCATTCGATTTCATTCGATGATGATTCCATTCGATTCCATTCAATGGTCATTCAATTCAAGTCCATTCCTTGATTCCATTCGAGTTCATGTGATGATTCCATTCGATTCTGTTCGATGATGATTTCATTCGAGGCCATTCGATGATTGCATTCAAGTCCATTCGATGTTTTCATTCGATTCCACTTGATGATGATTGCTTTCGAGTCCATTCGATGATTCTATTCAAGTCCATTCAATAATTCCATTTGATTCCATTTAATGGTGATTCAATTTGAGGCCATTTGACGTTTCCATTCGAGTCCATTCAGTGATTCCCTGTGATTACAATCGATGAGGGCTCCATTCGAGTCCATTCGATGATTCCATTAGGTTCCATTTGATAATGATTCCATTCGAGTCCATTCAAAGATTCCTTTCGAGTCCGTTCGATGATTCCATTCAATTCCACTTGAAGATGATTCCTTTCGAGTCCATTCGATGATTCCTTTCGAGTGCCTTCAATGATTCCATTCAATTCCATTCGATGACGATTCCATTCGAATCCACTCAATGAGTCCATTGTGTTGCATTCGATGATTCCATTTGGTTTCATTCGATGATGATTCCATTCGAGTCCATTTGATGATTCCATTCGATTCCATTCGAGGGTGATTCCATTCGAGTCCATTCGATGATTCCATTCGATTCCATTCCATGGTGATTCCATTAGATTCAATTCGATGATGATTCCATTCTATTCCTTTCAATGAAGATTCCATTCGTGTCCATTCAATGATTCCTTTTGATTCCATTCGATGGTGATTCCATTCGATTCCATTCGATGATGATTCCATTCGTGTCCATTCGATGATTCCATTCAAGTACATTTGATGATTCCACTGGATTCCATTCGATGATTATTCCTTTGGAGTCCATTCGGTGATTCCTTTAGATTTAACTTGCAGATGATTCCTTTCAATTCCATTCCATGATACCATTTGATTCAATTCGTTGGTGATTCCTTTTGATTCCATTTGATGATTCCATTCCATTCCATTTGATGATGATTCCATTCGATTTCTTTTGATGATTCTGTATGATTCAATTCGACGATGTTTCCATTCGTGTCCATTTGATGATTCCATTCTTTTCCATTCAATGATGATTCTATTCGAGTATATTCGATGATTCCATTCGAATCCACTCAATGATGATTCCATTCGAGTCCATTCGATGATTCCATTTGATCCCATTCATTGACGATTCCATTCGATTCCATTATATGATTCCATTGGATTGCATTCGATGATTCCATTCGAGTACATTCAATGATTCCACTCGATTCCCTTTGATGATTATTCCATTAGAGTCCATTTGGTGATTCCTGTGGATTCCACACAAAGATGACTCCATTCGATTCCATTTGATGATACCATTCGATTCCATTCGTTGATGATTCCATTAGAGTGCATTCAATGATACCATTAGATTCCATTCGATGATGATTCCATTCGATTCCATTCAGTGATTCCATTTGATTCCACTCAATGATGATTTCATTCGAGTCAATTCGATGATTCCACTGGCCTCCATTTGATGATGATTCCATTCAATGTTTCCATTCGATTCTATTCGATAATGATTCCATTCGATTCCATTTGATGATGATTCCATTGGATTTCATTCGATGATTCCATTTGAATCCATTCAATGATTCCATTCGATTGTATTCAATGATGATTCCATTCAATTCCATTCGAAGATGACTGCATTCGATTCCATTCAATGATTCAATTTGATTCCATGCGATGATGATTGCGATCAATTCCGTTTGATGATTCCATTCGATTCCATTCTATAATGATTCCTTTCGAGTCCATTCGATGTTTCCATTCGAGCCCATTCAATAATTCCACTTGAGTCCAATTGAAGATTCCATTCGTTTCCATTAAATGATTCCTTTAGAGTCCATTCAATCATTCCGTTAGAGTCTGTTTGACGATGATTCCATTCGAGTCCATTCGATCATTCCATTTGAGTCCGTTCGATAATTCCATTAGAATCCATTCGATTATTGCTTTCAATTCCATTCCACGATGATTCCATTTGAGTGAATTCGATGATTCCATTTGATTCCATTTGATGATGATTCCATTCGTGTCCATTCGGTGATTCCACTTAATTTCATTTGATGATGATTCCATTCGACTCCATTCAGTGATTCCATTTGATTCCATTTGATGATGATTCCATTCGAGTCCATTCTACGATTACATTCGATTCCATTCGATGATGATTCTACTAGAGTCCATTTGAAGATTCCATTCAAGTCCCTTCATTGATTCCATCCAATTACATTTGATGATGATTCCATTCGAGTAGATTCGTTGATTCCATTCGATTCCATTTGATGATTCCACTGGAATCCATTCAATTATTCCATTCGAGTCCATTCGATGATTCCATTCGATTACATTCAATGATAGTTCAATTTGAGTCCATTCGATGATGATTTCATTGGATTCCATTTGATGATTCCACTTGATTCCATTCGATGATTCCCTTCGATTGCTTTCGTTGATGATTCCATTCCATTGCATTCAATGATTCCATTCGATTCTATTCCACTATGATTCCTTTTGATTCCATTCTATGATGATTCCATTCGATTCCATTTGATGATGATTCCATTGGATTCCTTTCACAGCTTTCACAGCAAGATGTTTCCAATATTTAGAAATGGGCCTTGTGCATTATATACTTCATAAGAGCTTGGAAAACTCTCACCCAGGTATTACCAAATGCCAAACATCTCTGCATGCTTGCCATGTTCTCCCCACAGCCAAAATCCATTCTAGGTAAAATGCTGGCCTTGGCTGCTAAGGAAGTAATCTGGGGTTGTCAAGTGTTTCTCGCTCTCTCTGGGTCTATGGCAAAAAGGAGACACTGAAAGGCATTAAGTTTACTGCCACCTTTAGAGGAACTTGTCAAAGAAACACTCTTTGACTTTCCCCACCGGACTGTTATAGTCATATGTGGCCAACACCAACCTGAGTTTTTATAGCAAGTATTACATTATGATCACAATCACCTTCAAGTCCACATTCTAAGTCTTAGCCAGGTTTTGCAGAAACTCTGATGGTGTCCCACAGACCTTTAAGTGGATACAATCAATGAATTTGGAAAATAACTTGAATTTGGCTTGCTCACTGTTTCAACAGAATGCACTGGTGAATCTTGCTCTGTCATTGTATCTCACATGTGTGGCTATCCGACTTGCTGTGTTAGAAGTCAATGTTCCAGAATGTCGACTTCTACAAATACCCTTGTATAGAGCAAAGGGGAAACTCTTCAAGGCAAATGGAGTGTATGTTGTATCAGCGGGGGCTCTCTAGTCTTGGATTTCAAACTGTGATGTTTATTGTGCAGAAAGGAGATGGTTCTTTTCTCTATTTTATTTTTAATTTTTGTGATACATAGTATTGGTGGGGTACATGACAGGTTTTGATACAGGCATGCAATGTGAAATAAGCACATAATGGAGAATGGGATATCCATACCCCCAATCATTTATTCTTTGAGTTACAAACAATCCACTTACACTCTTTATGTTATTTTCAAATATATGATTAAGTTATTATTGACACTACTCACCCAGTTGTGCTATCAAATAGTAAGTTTTATTCATTCTATTTTTTGGTAGCCATGAACCATTCCTACCTCCCCCCACCCTCTCACTACCCTTCCCAACTCTGGTAAACACTCTTCTACTCTCTATGTCCATGAGTTCAATTATTTTGATTTTTAGATTCCAGAAATAAGTGAGAATGTGTGATGTTGGTCTTTTCTGTGCCTGGTTTATTTCACTTAACATAATGATGTTCAGTTCCATTCATGTTGTTGCAAATGACTGGCTTTCATTTTTTATGGCTAAATAGTACTCCATTGTGTATCTGTACCACATTTTCTTTATCCATTCATCTGCTGATGGACACTTAGGTTGCTTCCAAATCTTAGTTATCATAAACAGTGCTGCAGCAAACATAAACGTGCAGATATCTCTTTGATAAAGTGATTTCCTTTCTTTTGGGTATACACCAAAAATGAGATTGTTCAATGATATGGTTGATATGGCAGATCAATGTTTAGTTTTTTGAGCAACCTTCAAACTGTTCAAGGAGATGGGCCTGTTGTGATTATTTCATTGAGATATCCAACTTATGAGCATTTGAAAAGAATGCAAATTGCTGGAAAATCAGAGTGAAGAATGCAAAGTGATCAGGCTACAGTGTCATATCATTTTTCATTCTGAGGTGAAAAAGGCAGAGCATTTAATAGTAAATACCTTTCCAGAGTAAAATCTTAGGTGTATTGTTTTAGTGCCACAGTCTTGAACGATGGGCCCCTGGAAGCTCTCGACATCTCTTCTTGAGTGGAGAAAGTGTTAATCCCCAAAGTAAATGGAGTAGTACATTTTCACCTTTTGACAAGAGGGCAGAAACTTGATAATTCTGAGTGCTATTTAATAGTCTCTGCTTTAATTGAAAATGCAATACAAGCCAACTATGCTGCTGCTAACTCCTTGCTGGACATGTTCTGCTACTATCACAGGAACTGTGGTCTCACTGGACAATCAATTAACTGGAGAGCCTTGAGTCTTGAATGACTGCTGAAAAAACATTATCTTCAAAGCATTTTAGCCACCAAAGGAATACTAACTTTTCAAATACCGCACATCCATCAGTATCTTGAATCATGCTTGATTCTGAATAATTCTCAACAAGCCATGTCAAGGGGGCTGTCTGGCTTTGGATTTGAAATGGTGATGTTTATTATAAAGAAAGGAGATTATTTTGTTGTGATTATTTTATTGAGAAATCAAACATCTAAGCAGTTTACTAAAAGCAAGTTGCTGGAAAATCAGAATGAAGAATGCAGAATGATCAGACTACAATATACTGTCAAATTTTATTTCAAGAAATTACAGGAAAACTTTCCTAAGTTCCATCTAACAGAATTTATTTCTGCAAAGAATTCTAAGATAAATTCAATTTTCTGGTAGAGTTTGACTTGGTTTTTACTCATTATTCATCTTAAGTATCAACAGATGAGCTACAGAATTCATGAATACAAAACTCAAGACATTCCAGTATCCACATTGCTTACATAATTAGGCATAGACTCAATGTTAGCTATGACAATTGAAAATAAGCTCTTCTGTGATTTAACGGTTCATATTCCTCCAACCCAACTGCTTGATCCAGATGCAGCTCTGCAGATCTTAAAATTGTTTCTGGAAGAAAAATCAACTAAGACTTAAGAGAAGAAAAGAGTGGCCATAATCCACCTGAAATTAAAAAAAAGACCCCAGCTATGCAGCATGCCAAATCAGAATGAAAACAGAGGTACAAGATTATAAACAGAATGCATCAAACTTAAGTTTACCTAAAGTTTATTTTTGTCAGGCAACCTTGATCAATATTAAATTGACATTCTAACTAACAAGTCTTTATATGTGTCAGTGAATTTATATATGTTAGTAAACATTCCCTATATTAATTAATTTTATTATCCAAGGCTAAATCTAAAATGTTTAAGTAAAATTAAAAATAAGTCTTCATTGATCAAAAAATAAAGTTTGTTAAATTTAGTACTTTCCCAATGAAATTGGTCATTGTTGGTGTTTTTGTTTGGGGCACCTGCAAAACTCCACTGAAAATAAATTAGTGGAAATTATTCCTAAAAACCAAAAACTGAAGAATTTTGTCAATTGGTTTCACAAAGAAAAAAAGGAAATTTGCTTAATTAGCAGAGTGTATCATCTTTATTATTTTTGTTGTTCTTGGATCAGTGTTCTGAGAGAGATATGATGGCAGTAATTACATAATTAAATATGTAGATTTTTAATTTTTATTATTTATTTATTTATTTGTCTCTCACCCAGACTGAAGTGCAGTGGCATGATATTGGCTCACTGCAACCTCTGCCTCCTGGGTTCAAGCGATTCTCCTGCCTCAGCCTCCTGAGTAGCTGGGATTACAGGCACGTGCCACCACACCAGCCTAATTTTTGTATTTTTAGTAGAGAAGAAGTTTCACCATGTTGGCCAAGCTGCTCTCAAACTCCTGACCTCAAGTGATCCTCTTGCCTTGGCCTCCCAGATTATTTTACCTGGCTGATAAAATAATCTGTACAACAAATCTCCATGACATAAGTTTACCTATATAACAAGGTAATAGGAACCTGCACATATACCCCTGACTTAAAAGTTAAAAAAAAAAAACTATTTTGGGCAAAGAAAAAGGAGCACAATTGCTGAATTGTATGCTAAGGGCATGTTTAGTTTTGTAAGGAACTGGCCATATTATTGCCATTTTTAAAAAAGATAGTCCATGGGACCATGTTTGCATAATGAAGCATTGATTTCATGAAGAAATAATAACGGCACAAAGAAAGATGTGGGCCAGGCGCAGTGGCTCACACCTGTAATCCCAGCACTTTGGGAGGTTGAGGTGGGTGGATCACCTGAGGTCAGGAGTTCAAGACCAGCCTGACCAACATGGTGAAAACCCGTCTTTACTAAAAATACAAAAATTAGCCAGGCATGGTGGCGGATGCCTGTAATCCCAGCTACTTGTGAGGCTGAGGCAGGAGAATCTTTTGAACCTGGGAGGTAGAGGTTGCAGGGAGCCAAGATCATGCCACTGCACTCCAGCTTGGGTGACAGATTGAGACTTTGCCTCAAAAAACAAACAAACAAACAACAACAACAAACAAAAAAACAAAAGAAAAATGTAATTTCATTATAACATTACCTTACAAATGAGACTGGATGTCTTCTCATTCTCTTATCTATGGTGTATCCTTTTACTGACATGATGAAATAAAGAAGGCTAGAAAGTTACAGACCTGTGCATATTATCTTTAGAGATGGTAGAAAGATGAGGCTGTTCTTGCCTCATGGGATCTAATTTTTGTATGAATTATTGGGCAAGATACCAGGTAAAAGCCACATGAGTAAAGGTTCAAAGGACATGGAGAAGATTGTTAGAGATGTTGGGTTTCTGAGGAAAGGGTTTTATCAGCCAAATGTGAACTTAGTAAGTTCTGGACAGTGTTTATGGCCAATCTGGTGTGTAGCTAGTTTTGAATTTGTGTTGATACCACCTGGCTACTTTTCTACATTGTATCTGGCTCAGCTGAGTGACATCATTGAAGAAACATAGTGTGGGGCTCATCCAAGTATGGGATTGTGCCAGAAAAAGCACAGCAGTAAATCAGGGAGTTAAAGGTACTCATAAGAAAGTGACTCTCTCAAGTGGGTGAAGTGAAGAAGACCAGCTGTGTTTTTTGTGTTTGGTATTTGGGGAAAGGACGTGTGTGTTTTGATGGGTCAGTGTGTCATTTGTTTATTCTTTTGAGAGATCAAATAATGGGGTTGATGGATTATGGTTCTGGACAAGGTGGAAGAACTCTTAAAGTAGAAGTATTTGTGCAAGTGATTTGACAGGATAGGATGGTGCAGTCAGTCTGTTTACCCAGAAATCAAGAGAATCTGCAGTAGATCAGGATGGGGATGGTGTCACACACCTGTAGTCCCAGCCTGTAGTCCCAGATACTGGGGAGGCCGAAGTGGAGAATCCCTTGAGGCCAGCAGTTTGAGGCCGTAGTGTGCAAGGATCGTGCCTGTGAATAGCTGCTGCACTCCAGCCTGGGCAACAGGGTGAAAACACGGCTATAAAAATGTACATACATAATAGCTCAGACTCAGGTCTTTTAAAAAAAAAAGATAGAAAAAGGAAGTCCTCATAGCAACTGGTAGCTTAGTGGTAACAGAATTGTCCCAGAATAGGGACTCCTCTGCCTTTAGCCCAGTCAGCTATTGTTCTGGCATGGTCCCTGCCCCACCCCAGCCCCATGTCCACACCCACATCTCTTCTGCCCTCAGGCAGAGTCACAGTGGAAAGGCCCATGAAGACGGGTATATAGGAGTGCAGTCCCAGAATGAGTCTCATCTCAGCCTCAAATATCTTGCCACTGTGTCCACTTTGCCCAAGACATCAATTCAATGCTATGCCTGTATGATTTCCTGAGGACAAGGGGCCTAGTTCGGTCCTTAAAATGAAACCCCTTGCCTTTCTCCCCGGATCCACTGGCCAGGTCGATGCATTCAAATACACTTGATTCAACTGTTTATTCCAATGCAGAAAGCTTTTCAGAAGTTGGAGCTTTTGACATGGCCTTGAGCTTCTTTTCATTAAAGGGCTTCTTCAACACATCCACTGTTACATTGTGACTTCCAAACTGAAGGAGCATGTCTGAGACACTGGTCCATCTGAGGCAAACATAAGTCTCTATTTTTTTAACCAAGGAAACCCCACTAAACCATTTGTCAGTTATTGGCTTGGAGGCTGATGTCTCACTTTATGTCATCCTTGGGCATAGCTGAGTGAAGGGGGTTGCTACACAGATTATGTTGGTGTCTTTGAGCTCATATTTCAAAAGAAGGAGTAATGAGGATCAAGGCCTAGCAATGGGTGGCTGTAACCTACCAACCCTGGGTTATGGGCAAACCCCCTCCCATTGTGGAGGATTTTGTGTGTGTGTGTGTGTGTGAGAGACAGTCTCTCTCTGTCACCCAGGCTGGAGTGCAGTGGTGCAATCTTGGCTCACTACAACTTCTGCCTCCCGGGTTCAAGTGATTCTCCTGCCTCAGCCTCCTGAGTAGCTTGGATTATAGACGTGCACCAGCATGCCCAGCTAATTTTTGTATTTTTAATAGAGACAGGGTTTTGCTATGTTAGCCAGACTTGTCTCGAACTCCTGACCTCAGGTGACCTGCTTGCCTCGGCCTCCCAAAGTCCTGGGATTACAGGCGTGAGCCACCCCACCTGGCCCCATTGTGCAAGTTTTTATCATTCATCTTTAAGGTCCATTCTGCTGCCCGTTTCCCAGGAGAAATCTTCAGTCTAATTCCACATATCCGTGGCCAAGGCCTGTTGGAAGTTGAAACCATCTTTGTAGAATTATAAGTCATGAGATCAATCTAACATAACTGACTCCATCTTGCTTCTAACCTCACAGGTTAAATCTTTTTTTGCTTATTCTATCATGGAGGCCAAGATAACCATGAGAAGAATTTACTGTATAGTTAAACTTTGAAGCAAAGAAAGCTGACCTCCTCCTCATTCAGAGATCGAAGATGCATTTACAAGACAAGATGAGAATTATGGTAGGGTGTGAAGTTTGTAAAGAACAGGGATGGTTAAACCGTGCCTGCCATTGCTTAGCTTGTTTTCTATAAGTTATTTCCTGCCCCAGGGTCATGTAACTGGGGGTCACCAGATTTGTGATTTCCCCAACCACGCCTATAGATAACATCACAGTTGTGAGACCTAAAGGACTGGTCTTTGAGATACTTTTCTGATTTAGGGTTTCAGCAGACCAAGAGATGCCACCTGGTCCTAAGACCCCCTCCCAGGAACTGACTTTGCGGAGACAGTTTTAGACACCTCCATGATTTCATCCCCAGCTGAAAAAGTACAGATGCTCCTATGACTTGTGTAAGTTTCTGGGTGCAGCCTCAAACCTTGGCTCAATAAACCTCTGCTGAGGAGTCCCTCGCCTCAGTCATTTTTGTTGGGAACATGTGCTAATCTACCCTTATTTTTCTCCATAAAACTTATTACCTCCTGATATGCTCCATTCTATATTTAATTGTACTGTGGAGTTTCATCCTTTTCTCCCTAAAATGTCAGCCACATGAAGACAGGGACTTCCTTTGTCTTCATTACTCTGTCTGTGATGCAAAGGCATTTCTGGTGATGCTGTCTCTGTCGTTGATCTCATGTGACTCCCCCACCCCTTCCAGTTATTTGCAGTGTCATTTGCTGCTTCCCTTCCACTGTGACACTGACAAGTTTGTGCTCATTGCCTAACGGGGAGACATAACTGGTGACTAAATGTATGAATGATAGGAACCCTGGCTTAATTTTGGGGGAGAGAAGCCCCCTGTAGCTTTTTTTAGCTTTCCACTAAAAAGTGTTTTTGATGAATTTGAGACGGGTTGAGGAGTAGCAACGTGGAGTTCTCCAGTGTTGTCCCAGGGGATCTATTACTCATCAAAAATCTCTCCCTACATTACTCATGTAGTAAAAGAAAACAATTTCTGTGGAACTTGTCAATTTTTTTAGAAAATATCCATGATTATATAAAAATATGAATATATGAATATTAAATTATAACAATTTCTATCTAAGCATACCAGTTAACTCTATCCCCCCTCAAAAAAGCTATTTTTTTTTTGAGACTGAGTGGAGTCTTGCTCTGTTGCCCAGGCTAGAGTGCAGTGGCAAGATCTCAGCTCACTGCAAACTCTGCCTCCTGGGTTCAACCGATTCTCCTGCCTCAGCCTCCCAAGTAGCTGGGATTACAGACATGCGCCACCACACCCGGCTAACTTTTGTATATTTAGTACAGACGGGGTTTCACCATGTAGGCCAGGCTGGTCTCAACCTCCTGACCTGAAGTGATCCACCCGCCTCAGCCTCCCAAAGTGCTGGAATTACAGGCGTGAGCCACTGCGCCCAGCCTTCTTTTGTTTTTTAATGTATACATACTTAAGCAAAAAATGTGGCTTTAATTTATGACATAACTATTGGGAATATAACTCTAGAAAAAAATATTGCTAGAGAGTACTGAAAATCTTTACTGATAAAGTGCATATATTTTCAAAGTATAATTAGTATGTAGAGAATAAAATATCAGTTATTCACTTACAATAACATATGAATGATACAGTGAATTGTTTTGAGAAATGTAGTTTGATAGTGTTTCAATTAGAAGAAAAGATGAAGCGCTCAAGTACAGTCGTTCTTCCACTGCACAAGGAAATCTGAACTTTTTGTGAAGAGAAAGTAATGTAACCAAGTCCAACACGACCTCATTCTGCTCCTGCCCACCAGCCAATATGTCAGGAGACAAGGAGTTGGGGCAAGGAAGGTGACTTTAGTTTGAAGATCCAGAAAATGAAGAAGATGGTGGACTAATGTTCTAAAGAAGCAGGTTAAGTTAGTACAAATGTCAGGGTCTTTTTATGTAAAGGGCTGGCAAAGGGGAGGGGGTTGAGATCCAGAGGGGGCTAAGGACCACAGACACCTGGGAGCCAGCGAGGGTCTGAGGAGGTTGGGAACTTCCTTGTCCTTGGCCAGGTCACAATGTTCCTGTAAATCTCCACCAAAACATAGTTGTTTATATACTTCCCCTTTAACCTCAGAGTTAGTTTCAAAAACTATATGATTGCTGCTTTTCATTTTATCTCAGTGCTGTAAAATTATCCTCACCTATGTGCAGGAAAAGAAGAAGGTGCCTTAAATGGAAATGAAGTTAGTTATGTGAATTATTTTGCTGTTTCACTGTTACATTAAGTCCCATATTTCTTGGTGTGTTTCAGAATCTCCAATATTATTTTAATGTATAAGAATCAACTATGAAGGAGCTGACTGCTGTGTCCACTGCTGTGTCCAGCATGCGACAGTGGAGGAATTCCGGCCCAGCAGAAAGCTCCCCTAGATCCACTGGCCTTAGTGACCCTCAGATGCAGCTGATGTCAGTGAACACAGCCTGGCAGATTGGGAGTCATTGGTGGAGAGGAGGGAACAATGCTGCTTTAAGGTCCAGGCTCACTGCTGGGGAAGAAGTCAGCAGGGCTCAGCTCAGGTTATTTCTCCACTGTGGCATAAACAGGAGACTGAAAAAACAGAGTAGTGCTTTCCATGCCTTTATTAATGACTTTTCTCCTGGGTAGCCTCAGGCATACCCTTCAGCAGCACAGTGAGTTGAAAGGGCCTCCGCTGGGCATGGTGGCTCATGCCTGTACTTTGGGAAGTGGAGGTGGGCGGTTCACAAGGTCAGGAGTTCAAGACCAGCCTGGCCAACATGGATAAACCCCATCTCTACTAAAAATACAAAAAATTAGCCATGCATGGTGGCAGGTGCCTGTAATCCCAGCTACTCGGGAGGCTGAGGCAGGAGAATTACTTGAACCCGGGGCATAGGTTGCAGTGAGCCATGATCATGCCACTGCCCTCCAGCATGGGTGACAGAGTGAGACTTTATCTCAAACAAACAAACAAAAAAAGGTCTCTTTTGGAACATCTTTTTATTTTGAAAAATGATATATCAAAATTAAATTTGTTTTACTGTTGATTTTATTATAAAGTTGGAATCTCAGAAAATGTGCAAAAAGTGCATACATGAAAGGGGGGAACCTCTGTAAATCCTGGCAGATACAGGTCACCTGGTGGAAACACTGGGGTCCGGCACTGTGCTCTTGTCTTTTCACCTGCATTTGTGGCCCTGCGGGGAGATTCTCAGGACTAGCATTGCTACGTGCTTCTTTTCTGTATTTTATTTATTTATTTAATTATTTGAGGCAGAGTCTCGCTCTGTCGCCCAGGCTGGAGTGCAGTGGCACAATCTCGGTTTACTGCAACCTCCGCCTCCCGGGTTCAAGAAATTCTCCTGCCTTAGCCTCCTGGGTAGCTGAAATTACAGGCACGTGCCACCATGCCCGGCTAATTTTTTTAAAATGTATTTTTAGTAGAGACAGGGTTCCACCATGCTGGCCAGGTTGGTCTCAAACTTCTAACCTCGTGATCTGCCTGCCTCAGCCTCCCAAAGTGTTGAGATTACAGGTGTGAGCCACCGCACACAGCCCCTTTTCTGTGTTTTAAATGTTAATAGATATTGTCTGGTTGCCAACTCCTAAATGTGAAAACACTTTATAATCCTAATATGGAATGTATTAGAATTCTGTCCTTATTCATCATCACGTTAAATATTTATTCATTTAAATTTTTATCAGTCTAAGCAGTTTAAATGAGATATGTTTTCCCTGGTTCACCATTGTTGAAATGCCTTTCCTTTTCATGCTAAAGAAAAATTGATATTTCTCTATATCGATGCCTATATATCTACGCATGTCTATAGAGATATATCTAACTGAGCACTTCTCCAAGATTAATATAATTGTGCTACACCTGTTTTCAAAGGTTTAGGATCATAAAATAAATTTTTTCAAAAGCAATTCCTTTCTAAAGTATTTTATTTAACCTATATAACATACTAAGAAGTAAAATTTATGGTTTAATTTTCTTATGGAACACCAGATATTGCTGCATTATTTCTTTTTTTCATATATGTATATATGACAGGAAAGAAAACATAAGAGTAATTATTTTTAAATACTTATAATGTGAAACGCATATGGGACACATCCGTGGAAAAGATATAAATTGGAGATAAACAAATCACAGGATTAAAACGGGTCATTAATGATGGACAAGGGACTGGATATAATATTTAATCATATGACTAATTATAAGTTCAAAATAAAACACAACTCCGAGCCAGGGATAGATTCCAGTGTGGGGGGGATTTAACTTCAGTGAGAAGAGGATCTTTTATTTCAGAAATGGGGCTGGGCGCAGTGGCTCACACCTGTAACCCCAGCACTTTGAAAGGTCAAGGCGGGAGCATCGCTTGAGCCCAGGAGTTTGAGACCAGCCTGGGTAACATAAGGAGACCCCATCCCTACAAAAAATAAAATAAAAAATAATTAGCCAGGCGTGGTGGCGGGTGCCTGTAATCCCAGCTACTCAGGAGGCTGTGGCAGGAGAATCGCTTGAACCTGGGAGGCGGAGGTTGCAGTGAGTGAGCCGAGATCGCGCCACTGCACTGCAGCCTGGGCGACAGGGTGAGACCCTGTCAAAATAAACAAACAAAAAACCTACAAGACAATCCACAGAATTGGAGAGAATATTTTTTGAAAAGCTCGTTAAGTTTAAAACTCTAAGTGTGGAATAAACAAAGTCGGGCAAGCGCGGACAGGCGCCGGCGGACTGGAAGGGAACTCGAGCCGGCGTCCTCGGGGCTGTGAACGGGCCTGGCGGAGCCTCCAGCAGCCCAGCGCGCTCCGCAGTCAGCGGCGCCGGGCGTCTGAGAACCCGGCAGAGGCTCCGGCGCGGCGGGGACACGCCTGGAGTCCCGAGAGTGAAGAACCAAGAAGGGGCCCGGAGCCAGGACGCCGGGAGGAGCAGGGTAAGAGCGCGTGGTCTGGCGGGTCAGGGCCTGATCCGGAGCGCCGAGGTTCCCAGGACGGCGGCAGCCTTGCCACAGCCCGCAGCAGCCGGGGGCCTAGGCCTGGGTGGCCGCCGGGAGCCGCAGCCCCGCTCCCCAGGCAGCGCGGCCCCTCGCGACTGCAGCGCCGCCGGCAGGACCGCGCTCCCTCAGGACCGGGCTGACCAGCAGCGGATCCGCGTGGCGGGAAGTGCAGGCCGGGGGCGCACGGGAGACCCAGGGACGGCGGCCGAGAGCGTGGAGGCCTCGAAGCCCGGGCGCCCCATCGGCCCTCAGCGCCTCTGTTCTTTAAACCCTGCCACATCCTGAGACCCTGTCCCTGCTCCGGCTGCTTTTGCCGACGGAAGCCGTCTCCTGCCGCCTCCGAGCTCCTTCCCGGGAGGCTTCTCCTTGGCCTTGGCCGACAGCTTGGGTGTCTCTCCTGATGGAGGGGCCTGGGCCTCTCGGGGGCTGGAACGGGAGACACGCCCCGGCCTCGACGCCTCCCTTCTCCCCTCACATCCTCCCGCCCAGCTTCTCACACACCCGCACCTCCCGTGGTTGGGGGAGGCGGAGACTCCAGGACCCCCAGGCAGGGGCTTCACGCAGTCCCCACAGTGGGAGCCACTCCTTGTCCCTGGGATGAGGGCGGGGCTCCGCCTTGTGTAGGAACCGGTGCGAGGGGCCCTGCCTCTCTTTCTCAAAGAGGGGGCTGCTGTTCCACCGGGGTCTCCCTCTCCACCTTCTCCCTCCTCCAGGGCGACGATAGGAGCGGGGCGAACGCTCCCTCCCCTCCCCGTGCGTTCCTAGCATCCAGTGATTCTGCCTCTTGCCCACGCAGGCCTGCAGTGAACAAAGGGCGCCCCAGGAAGCACGATTTGGGTCAAATTCGCCTTTCTTAATTGTAGGACAGCCGCAGGAAGGAGGAGAACGGGGAGTTCTCCCCTGCAGCTCCCCCAACTCCAGGGATCTGCGTTAGGTGGGCCGCCCCTCCCTGCTCCTGCTGGGAAGATGCCATGGGCCTTCCATGGCCTCCTCTCCCCAGCTCAATGCCAAGTGGACTTGCAAATGCACAAAGCCGGCAGGGACCACTATGTCTCCAAGACCTGGCGTGCAGAGGCAGGAGCATGAGCGTCTGCGGGTGTCTGACACGCGAGTGTGAGAGATGGGGCAGGCGGCATGTCCGCAGGTGTCTCTGGGCCTGTGTGCAGTTGGGGGTTTGTGGGCCTGTGCAGAGCCCTCTTCCCCTGATAATTTCCTCAAAACCCACAGTGAGAGGAGAGGGCCCTGGGGGAAGAGAAGTTCCTTCCCTTGTCTTTGAAATGAATTCCTCCTTCCCGAATCTCTGAGTGGAGAAAGCCCAGCCATCTGCCTTTGCAGTGTGCAGAGCAGAAGGTAAGGGGCTGGTGTAGCCTAGGTGGGGGCCGCCCTTGAGTCTGCAGCTCACTGTGGGTAAGGGCTGGGGGAAGGCTCTGTCACTCCAGGCTTATTTTCTTCTCCCATCTGTGTCTGGGGCTGCAGAATAGGGTACCAGAAGGACCCCGTTTCACCCACGTTGTGTGTATCTCACCATGGGGGCTCTCCCTGCAGGTCTCCCCCTCACATAAAGCCCCTTTGAAACAAGAAAGAGGGTCCCCGGGCTACAAAACTGAAAGCACAGCCTCCAGGATGTGAAGGGGAATGATGGTGCTGTGTTCAAGTTCCTTCTCTCTGCTGGTTGGTGGCTGTGACAACTCTGGCCTGACTTTATTCATCTCTGGTTTTTCTTGCCACCCTTCTGTCTCCCTCCCATCTTCACCCTGAGTCCAAACGGGCTCTCCTGTTGACCTCCTGTCCCTTTGCACAATTGTAACCCGCAGGCGAGGGACAGGGCCTGTTCAGTCATTAGTCATCATGAGTGTTTTGTCAACTGTTTATTAATGTATTTGGGGATATTTGCTCCAAATCAGAGGTTGAGGAAATGACTAAATAACGGCAAGGAGCCCCTGCCTGACCAATCCTTTTCCTTTTGGCCCCAGCTTAGGTGGAAGTGGGTAGAGTATCTTATATTGGGCAGTTTGGGGGCTGGGGAGGCAGAGAATCTCTTGGGGAAGTGATCTTGGGAGTCTTGGGGGTGGTGCTGGTGCATTCTGTTTCCTCTTGCTCTCAAAGTACAATGTGGATTTGGGGACCAAAGGTCAGGGACACATCCCATTAGAAGACCTGCATTTGGGAGAATGGTGAGTGGTGGGAGGAGGGCCCAGAGCAGCAGGAAGCAGCCTGTCATAGCTCAGCTTAGTTTCCCTTCCCAGACAAGGGGAGCCAGCCATGGAATCTTGCTGCAGGGCCTCCTCCTCCTACTCTTTCTGTCCTCAAAGTAGGGGCCATTTTCTTACACATCCCCAGAGAGAGGAGGGACCTTCACACTGGTGCTGAGGGGCCCAGGGCTGCTGGGCATCTTTGTTCCTTACCAGAGCCATCCATCCCTAGAAAAGCACAGAGCCCTGAAGGCTGGCCTGGGCCTCTGGTCTTCTCTACAGTTCCCAGAGGTCTTTCAGCCAGTCTACTCCCAGGAAGGAAGATGCCTGGAAGCTACAACGTGAATATAACTTTTGTGGACCAATAATAAAACGCAGGGAGCCCAAGGGTGAGAAGAGTGAACTGTCCCAACACTGCTTCCTGTTTCCTCCCCTTCATGTTCCTCCAGGGAAATCTACTTTATTGCTGAATTTCTGCCTTTCCCCCCTCACATATGCACTTTTGGGCCTTTTCTTGTAGCTGGAAAAATCAAAATCCCACCCCACAAACCAGTATTTAAAAAGAAACAGAAATGACCATGTGAAATGTGCCTCTGTGCACATCATCGGGGTGTGTGTGTGTGTGTGTGTGTGTGTGTGTGTAGCCACTCATTCATCTCTTTATATGGGGTATTGTCTTATTTCAGCCTGTTTTGATTTCCCCCTTGAGGGCTTTGCTCGGGATCAAACCTTTCTGTCCTGTTATGATTCTGAACACTTGATTTGAACCACAAGTGAATCTTTCTCCTGGTGACCCAAATAAAAATATAATTTAAAAATAAAAAATAAAGTATAATACAACTAGTATATAGGGAATAAGATAGAAATTGTTTACTTAAAAGATTAATATATAAATAATATTTAAAAGCATTGTCTTGAGAAATAGTTTGATAATCTTTCCATTTGAATAAAAGATGAGACTGTCATGTACAGCATCTCTTTCACTGCTAATAGAAAAGAATGCAAACTTTCTGTGAAGAGAAGTAAACACCACATCAAAGAAAAGATAGATGTGTTACTAATTCAAGGCTACATGGAGATTTTGTTGTTTTTGTTTTTGTTTTTTTCTGAGATGGAGTTTCGCTTTTGTTGCCCAGGCTGGAGTGCAATGGCTTGATCTTGGCTCACCGCAACCTCTACCTCCCGGGTTCAAGTGATTCCCCTACCTCAGCCTCCCGAGAAGCTGGGATTACAGGCATGCACCACCATGCCCGTCTAATTTTTTGTATTTTTAGTAGAGATGGGGTTTCCCCATGTTGGTCAGGCTGGTCTCAAACTCCCGACTTCAGATGATCCACCTGCCTCGGCCTCCCAAAGTGCTGGGATTACAGGCGTGAGCCACTGTGCCTGGCCAGATTTTTTTTAAAAAATACAATTCAGTCAGTCCTCATTGAAATATAAACAACTGGAAATGTAATGCTAAACTCATTTAAAACTGATTTTTAAAAAAATGTCTCTTTATATTTTTAAGATTTAGGGGCTGGGAGCGGTGGCTCACACCTGTAGTCCCACCACTTTGGGAGGCCGAGTCAGGTAGATCATGAGGTCAGGAGTTCAAGGCCAGCCTGGCCAAGATGGTGAACTCCCGTCTCTACTAAAAAATACAAAAAAAAAAAAAAAATTAGCTGGGCATGGTGGCGGGCACCTGTAATCCTCGCTACTGGGGAGGCTGAAGCAGAGAATTGCTTGAACCTGGGAGGCAAGGGTTCCAGTGAGCCGAGATCATGCCACTGCACTCTAGAAACAAAAAACAAAAACAGAAACAAAAAAACCCAAAATGATTTAGGTATACTTTCAAATCTATTTTAATTTAAAAAAGCTATGAAAAGATTTACATGGCCATTACTTATATTGTTTAAAAAACTTTAAAATTAGACCATATAAGCTATGGATTTGTACCTAAATTTAGAATATAAGTATGCAAAATTACTGTAGATTATTTATTTATTTATTTTTGCTTACCCTACCTGGACTGAGACTGTAGATACTTTATTTAGTGAATATAGAATATGCCAATAAGAAAACCAAGTCATCCTAGGCAGATTTGATGGCTGATGCCTGTAATCCCAGCACTTTGGGAGGCCGAGGTGGGCAGACTGCTGGAGCCCAGGAGTTCGGGACCAGCCTGGGCAAGACAGCAAAACCTCATCTCTACAAAATTTACAAAAAGCTGGATATGGTGGTGCATGCGTGTAGCCACAGCTACTTGGGAAACTGAGGTTGGAGGACCCTTGACCCTGGGAAGTCGAGGCTGCAGTGAGCTGTGATCTCCCTCCTGCACTCCAGCCTGGGTGACAGAGTGAGACTCTGTCTCAAAAAAAGAAATATCGTCATCTAAAACATCAAAGATTAAATGAGAGGACTACATTCACTGAGTACATTATTCTATACCCTTGTAAATGTCTCATAAGTAAATTAACTTAGAAAAATATGTTCTATCAGATGACATTTTGATGATTTATGATGACAACATTCACGAAATGGATTTCCACACAGTTTCTCCCTGATGGACTCAAAAGTGTTCTCTGTGGAAGACACTGAGCCAGACCAAGAAGCATCCAGGCCCGTCAGAAACATGGCAGACAGAGCAAGAGGGAGGACAGTGTAGAGGTCAGAGCCCAGGCGGGATACAGCACAATGCCACCGCCATGGGCTTCCGGGAAGGAGTGCCAAACGGGTGACTTGGCCAGAAAGGCCAGCGTTGGAGTGACAGAGATCCTTGCCACATCCCGTTCTCGACTTCTTCTCCAAGCCTGTGTCGCGGTGGGGCTCCATTTCTCAATGGGAAGAGAGGGCGGGAGGAGTTAGAACCATCTTCTTGGAGGTCGGTCTGCACCTCTCCTGCAGAAGAACAATGAGCTCCGCTGATGCTTTTTTAAATACTATCCTTGGGTGTGGTGAGACCGTCTTGATCCTAGAAAAGAGGCCTCTCAGGATGGGGAGTAGATTTCAACCCCTGCGGGTCCATCGCAGCTACCCGCATTGCCAAGGCCTTCACAAACCCAAACTGGAACCGCCGGGAAAAAGACCAACAACTGGTCAGACGTCCCAGGCAGAGACACAGAAAGAGTCTCACCAAATACAGACCGACATGCAAGAAACAGCCCTCCAGCGCACAGGGCACATTCATCCCAAAACACACACGCACATGGGCACACACAGCCACAGAGGGAGAGAGGAGAGAGAGAGGAAGGAGTGAAAGAAAGACATACACACACACAGACATACAGCAGCGGCACAGAAACACCCAACCCCAGGTAGCCCTTGAGGCTGCCGGGTTCTGCTCTCCGCGAGAACGACAATCGGGTAAGAGAGCAGCCCACGGGCATACTGCAGGCCTGTCCTGTAGATCAGAGGGGGCGCGAGTTGCGGGGAGACTTGCCCACACACCGTCTGGGCAGGCTGAGGCTGGGATCCCGCGCTGCTCTCCTGGGACTCCGCCTGAAGTTTCTTCATCCTGGTCGGCCCTCCGCGACTCCTGGCGTCCGGAGACCATCCCTCTCGAGCTCCTGGAGACGTCAGGGTGGAGTCGCGACACCGACGCACTGCCACGAAGGGGTCCTGCTTTGCCACGCCTCAGGGACCCATCACCAGGCGGACCGTGAAAGTCTCTGTGACTCAAGAATCAGCTCAGGCCTCGCGCATGCGCATTGGCTGCGCCGACTTAAGCTCTGCTCCTGTAAGTCAGGCTGGGGCCTCTTTAAAAAATGGCGGTGGCCTGGCAGTAGCAGCAAGACTGCAATGGCTAGGGTCGGGGAAGCGGGTGGGGGGGCGGGTAGAGGGAGGTGTGGGAGAGTGGGCTGCAAGCAACCCAGAGCCAGACATTCCCCTAGGAGTCCTGTCCTCCTTGAGCTGTCTAGGATAATACATGTAATTATGAATTTATATCAGACTTGACAAGCCCCTTCATTTTATTTTTAATATGATTGTTTCTCTTGAATAATACATGAAAATTATTTTTATTAATTTTCTATAAATTATTGGGGTACAGGTGGTATTTGGTTATATCATATTTTGATGGGATTTTTTTTCTTACTGATTTGTTTGAGTTTGTTGTAGATCCTAGATGTTAGTCTTTTGTCAGATGTATAGATTGTGAAGATTTTCTCCCATTCTGTGGGTTGTCTGTTTACTCTGCTGACTGTTGTCAAAAAGTGGACTAAGGATATGAATAGACAATTCTTAAAATAAGATATACAAATGGCAAACATATGAAAAAATGTTCAACATCACGAATGATCAGGGAAATGCAAATCAAAACCACAGTGCGATACCACTTTGCTCCTGCAACAATGGCCATAATCAAAAAATTAAAAAGCAGTAGATGTTGGTGTGGACGTGGTGAACAGGGAACACTTCTAAACTGCTGCTGGGAATGTAAACTAGTACAACCACTATGGAAAACAGTGTGGAGATTCCTTAAAGAACTAAAAGTAGACCTACCATTTGACCCAACAATCCCACTACTGGGTATCTACCCAGAGGAAAATAAATCATTATTCAAAAAAGATACTTGCACACGCATGTTTACAGTGGCACAATTCACAGTAGCAAAGTCATGGAACCAACCCAAATTCCCATCAATCAACAAGTGGCTAAACAAACTGTGGTAATATATAGATGATGCAATACTTTGCAGCCCTTAAAAGGAATGAATTAACAGCATTTGCAGTGACCTGAATGAGATGAAAGATTATTACTCTAAGTAAAGTAAATCAAAAAAGGAAACCAAACATCAAATGTTCTCACTCATACGTGGGAGCTAAGCTATGTGGATGCAAAGGTGTAGGAATGATACAATGGGCTTTTTGGGGACTTGGGGGGAAGAGAGGGAGGAAGGAGAGGGAGAAAAGACTGCAAATATGGTGCAGTGTATACAACTCAGGTGATGGGTGCACCAAACCTTCACAAATCAACACCAAAGAACTTACTCATGTAACCAAATATCACAATCCTAAATATAGATGCACTTAACACTGGAACTCCCAAATTTATAAAACAATTGCTGATAGACCTAGGAAATGAGATAGACAGCAACACAATAATAGTGGGGGACGTCAATACTCCACTGACAGCACTAGATAGGTCATCAAGACAGAAAGTCAACAAAGAAACAATGGATGTAAATTGCACCTTGGAAGAAATGGACTTAATAGATACATACAGAACATTTTATCCAACAACCACAGAATACACATTGTATTCAACAGCTCATGGAGCTTTCTCCAAGATAGACCATATGATAGGCCATAAAATGAGCCTCACTAAATTTAAGAAAATTGAAATTATATCAAGCACTCTCTCAGACCACAGTGGAATAAAACTGGAAATCAACTCCAAAAGGAACCTTCCAAACCATGCAAACACATGGAAATCAAATAACCTGCTCCTGAATGAGCATTGGGTCAAAAATGAAATCTAGGTGGAAGTTAAACCATCCTTCGAACTGAATGACAATAACGACACTACCTATCAAAACCTCTGGGATACAGCAAAGGTGGTGCTAAGAGGAAAGTTCATAGCCCTAAATGCCTACATCAAAAAATCTGAAAGAACACGGACAATCTAAGGTCACACCTCAAAAAACTAGAGAAACAAGAACAAACCAAACCCAAACCCAGCAGAAGAAAGGAAATAATCAAGATCAGAGCAGAACTAAATGAAATGGAAACAAAAATTACAAAAGATAAATGAGACAAAAACCTGGTTCTTTGAAAATATAAATAAAATTGATAGGCCATTAGCAAGATTAACCAAGAGAAGAAGAGAGAAAATCCAAATAACCTCACTAAGAAATTAAACAGGAGATATTACAACTGACACCACTGAAATACAAAAGATCATTCAAACCTACTCTCAACACCTTTATGCACATTAACTAGAAAACCTAAAAGAGATAGATAAACTCCTGGAAAAATACAACCATCCTAGCTTAAATGAGGAAGAATTAGATACCCTGAACAGACCAATAATGAGCAGCAAGATTGAAATGGTAATTTAAAAATTACCAACAAAAAATGTCCAGGACCAGGTGGATTCACAGCAGAATTCTACCAGACATTCAAAGAAGAATTGGTACCAATCCTTTTGACACTATTTTGACTACTTTTGACACTATTCCACATGATAGAGAAAGAAGGAACCCTCTCTAATTCATTCTAAAGTTGGAAAATTTCTGCAAACAGAAGCTTCTCCAGTGGGAGGATGTGTTAGGGGGAGGAGCGTCTCCCTTTTCCACCTCTGCAGTTGGGGCACTCACAGTATTTGAGGTATCTCCTGGGTCCTGCAGGAGCAGTCCACTTCCTTCAGAGGGTATGTGGGTCCTCTCAGTAGTGCTGGTTTTTCTTGCAGTCAATCTGGAGATAAAATTCACAATGGAAGCCTCCAGATGGTGCTCTATCTGGAGCTGCAATCTAGTCCTGCCTTCCATCCGCCATGATCCCCTCCATTCTGAAAATTATTTTTGAAAATACATGTTTCTTTTAGGTTTTAAATGCACCAAGTTTATGTCATTATGATCTTTATTTCACCATTTTTTCTGATCTAAAGATGTGATTGATTTTCAAACTTTTTTTTATGTCTTTCAGTAAAGTTATGTAAGTTTACACAGTAAAATTTAGAAGAAGGTACAGTGTTCTCATATATATCCTGTTCCACACATACCCAGTTTTCCCCATTGTCCACCCATGGGAGTTCTACATTGTTACAGCTGATGAATTTATATTAACACTTTTTTTTTTTTTTTTTTTTGAGATGGAGTCTCCCTCTGTCATCCAGGCTGGAGTGCAATCGCTCGATCTTGGCTCACTGCAACCTCTGCCTCTTGGGTTCAAATGATTCTCCTGCTGCAGCCTCCTGAGTAGCTGGGATTATGGGTGCCAGCCTAATTTTTGTATTTTTAGTAGAGACGAGGTTTCACCATGTTGGCAGGCTGGTCTTGATCTCCTGACCTCGTGATCTGCCTGCCTCGCCCTCCCAAAGTGCTGGGATTTCAGGTGTGAGCTACCACACCCGGCCACATTAACACATTTTTATCACCCACAATCCGCTGTTTCTATTAGGTCTCACTCTTTTTGTTATATTGTCTATGGGTTTGAACAAATGTATAAGGACATGTATTTACCATTATAGGATACATGAGTCATATAGAGTACCTGTAGTGCCTTAAAATTTTGCTGTGCTCTGCCTATTTATTCCTCAGTTTTCACAAACTCCAGGCTACTGATTATTTTGCTACCTCCATAGTTTTGCCTTTTTCAGAATGTCAAATAGTTGGAACCATGAAGTTTGACAACGGGATGGGTGCAGCATGAGCCACTGTACCCATCCCATTGTCATTTTCAATTAATATTCTTTGGTTATATGCAAGCTTTCTCATGCAAGAGAGCTGATGTTATAACAATAGCTAAAACATTATTTAAAATGTATTTTTGGTCAGGCGCGGTGGCTCACGCCTATAATCCCAGCACTTTGGAAGGCTGAGGTGGGTGGATCACCTGAGATCGGGAGTTCGAGACCATTCTGACCAAAATGGTGAAACCCCATCTTTACTAAAAATACAAAAATTAGCTGGGCATGGTGGTGGGTGCCTGTAATCCCAGCTATTCGGGAGGTTGAGGCAGGAGAATCACTTGAACCCAGGAGGTGGAGGTTTCAGTGTGCTAAGATTGCAACACTGCACTCCAGCCTGAGCGACAGAGTGGGACTCCATCTCAAAAAAAAAAGGGGGGGCGGGGGGAGGAAGTTTCTCATGTGACCTTTCTGGAGAGATCACCAGTGACAAAGGTACTTGTCTTACTTGATAAGTTACAAAACAATTAAATATTACTGATAAAATAGCATTAGACTAGGCTAACTGAATTGACTGGATTGTCTTGATCAAAGGTATTACATATTGCTGAGAATCAGATCCACTTCCAGTGGAAAACATAAGTTGACCCCTTATGAAATAGTCACCAGAAGAGCTTTGCTCCTAATAATGCATGCATGTATTATTGCATCTTCATGCATCTTCTGCTTCTAAACTCTGATATGAATAAATGCTTCAAAGCCTTAATGCACTATGTATTTTCACCGAGTAAAAACAGCTTGTTGTGATATGCCAATTGAGGAGAATTAAACCATTCATGATCTAAAACCCAGAGACTTTGTCTTCTGGAAACAACATCAGGGAAATACTGCCCTTGTCACTCACACTGTAGAAAAGTTTCAGGACCTGAAACCTTGGGTTTATAATCTGACAACTCAGAAGGTCCCATCAAGAAGGTCCCATCAAGACTTTTGGAACTGTGCACTCATTAGAGAACTTAAGGTAAAGCTAACCAGGAAACTTTCTCCCCAGAAGCAGATAACATCCTGAACATAAACAGCCATCCCAAGATTACAAATCAAGACTTCTCTACTATTATGACACTTTTACCTCAATTTTTTTCTTGCTCCTGCCTCTATAAACAATCAAACTATAAAATGGATCTTGTGTAAAAGGGATATACTTATATTTGTGAAGGATTTTACAACCAAGCTTAAAAGAGATGACTTTATGCCTTGATATATAAATGATGAAGAGACAAAATGGGTGAGAAATTGGAACAGTATATTTGTTGCCTCATAGTCAGAACATTGGTCCACTTCTCTTAACATATATCATAGGTTAGAGAGCATTGCCAAGAGGCCTTCACTCTTCTGGATGTGCATTATTTGTTTGGTCTGTTTGTATGGTTTGAAGTAAATGAAGCAATGATTAAACGTTTATCTCTCATAAAACTCCCTGAAGCAGATTCTACTGTAAAGGCTACAGTTGCATAACAGACTTCTCTAAATTATCTAGCTAAAGTTGTGCTAGATAATATACTCTCTCTAGATTACTTACTGGATGAACAGAAAAGAATCTGTGCAGTTGCTGACACTTCTTGTTGCACACAGATGAATACAGCCACTATTATACAGACCCATTTGTAGCTTGCCCACCCCTGCACCATCTCCACTAAAGTTACAAATGCATGCATGGAGGCCAGGAGCCCCACACCCATGATTGTCCCACCATCACCATCGCAGGCATAACTGCAAACATGGATACCAGCATCCCCATCCCAGCATGCACCCCATATCCTGCATAAGCATGAGCAGGAGCACTGTAGCCTCATTTGTGTGGGTACGCTTCCCCAGCCAATGCATATCCATACTGCTGCACTGCCACGACTGCTAGCATGCATGGATGAGAACAAATCCTGCTGCCATCACCCTGATGAAGTGCTTTGGCTAGCACCACCCATCAGAGTGTTGTGGCCAGAGGACTGAGAACAACTCAGTCCCTCTAGCACAGCAGCTTTTTATCCTGGAGAGGCCAGAGAACAAAGCCAAGGTTCTACTATCAGCCCCTGAGAGTTAGACTATGCAGCCCAGGAATGCTGAGTTGAGCCTTGGCACTTTAAAATCTTCCAGAAATGAACCCAGTCAACTGCACCCACCTTATACTACGATTAACTCAAAAGGGAATCACAGAAGATAAATGCCAAAAAAAACCCATGCAATTGACAACAACTTTAACCCTTTTCCCATTTAGAAAAAAAAGTACAGCTTACTGCAAGCATTCATTTAATTTTACATAGACATACTCTTTGAGGCTGAAGCAAATCTGACTGATTTTCAATGTGAAAATAAAATATAAAAACTGTTCTTGAAGTTATTTATAAACAGAACTAACATCAGAATCATCTGAATAATCAGAATCATCTATTTCAGAAAAATCAGAATTCGTCACATGACTCTTTAGCCAACAATTGTTTGAGAATGATGTTAATATCACATGTAGAAATGCTGTTTTCTAGGATTGGTCATTTTCAGCAATCAAGAAATACTATATATTTTACTGAAAATACCATCACTAAAAACAAGATGCTAAAAATAGAATAATGTCTTTTATTTCCAAAGTCAATATACTAGAGTGATGCAAGAATAATAATAAAGGTGATATATTTTGTGACAAAGTTATCTTGGGCTAAATTCTGCAGCCACAAGCACTACTGGTGAGTATTCTCAGGGCAAACAGGAAAAGGGTTAAAGGTTGAAGAAACATTAGCCCACACAGATGAGAAAAAAACACTGCAAGAACTGTGGCAACTTAAAAAGTCAGAATGTCTTTGCCCCTCCAAAGAATCATACTAGTTTTTCAGCAATGGTTTTTAATGAGGCTGAAATGGCTAAAATGACATAAATTGAATTAGAATATAAATAAAAATGAAGATCATTGGCATCCAGGAGGAAGTTAAAACCCAATACAAGGAATCTAAGACACAAACAAAACAATACAGAAGACAAAAGACAAAAATAGACATTTTAGTAAAGAACAAAACTGATCTGATAGAGCTGACAAATTCACTTCAAAAATTTTATAATACAATCACAATTATTAACAGTGGAATTGACCAATCTGAGGAAAGAATCCCAGATCTGAAAGGCTTATTCTCTGAAATAACTCAGCCAGACAAAAATAAAATAAGATAAAGAAGTATGAACAAAACCTTTGAGAAATGTGAGATTATGTAAAGAGAAAAAAATCTATGGCTCATTGGCATCCCTTAAGGAGAGGAAGATAAAGTAAACAACTGGGAAAACACACTTGAGGATATCATCCACAAAAATTTCACCAATCTTACTAGAGAGGCCAACACTCAAATTCAAGAAATGCAGAAAACCCCTGAAAAATGCTATCATATTCTCCAAGATTTAAATGAAAGATTACATTCAAATGTAATCCTACAAGCCAGAAGAGATTGGGAGCTTATATTTAGCATTTTTTAAGAAAATAAATTCCAACCAAGAATTTCTTGTCCAGCCAAACTGAGCTTCATAGACAAAGGAGAAATAAGACCCTTTCCAGACAAACAAATGCTAAGGGAATTCCTTTACTACTAGGCCTGTCTTACAAGAGGTCCCAAAGGGAGTGCTAAATATGGAAAGGAAAAACCACTACTTGCCACAAAACACACACACACATACACACACACACACTCACTCATATACATACACTATTGAGAGTATAAAGCAACCACACAATCAAGTCTGCATAATAACCACCTAACAACAAAATGACAGCATCAAATCCGCACAAATCAACATTAAACTTATACAAACAGGCTAAATGCCCCCCAATTAAAAGGCAGAGTAGCAACTTGGGTAAAGAAGCAAGATCCAACTATATCTTCAAGAGATCCATCTCAAATGCAAAAACATCCATAGGTTCGAAATAAAGGGATGGAGAAAAATCTACCAAGTAAAAGGAAAACTAATAAAGCAGGGGTTGCTATTCAAATTTCAGTCAAAACAAACTTCAAACAAACAAAGAACAAAAAAGACAAAGAAGGAAATTACATAATGAAAAAAATCTATCCTTAATATACATGCACCCAACACAGGAACACCCAGATTCATAAAGCAAGATCTTACAGCCTTATGAAGAGATTTAGATAATCACACAAAAATAGTGGGAGACTCCAATACCCCATTGACAGTATTAGACAGATCATTGAGGCAGAAAACTAACAAAGATATCTGGGACCTTAATACCTACCAAATCGTCCTAATAGACTTCTAGAGAACTCTCCACCCCAAATGACAGAATATACCTTCTTCTCATCTGCACATGGCACATAATCTAAAATTGAACAGACATTCAGCCATAAAACAATCCTTAGCAAATTTTTAAAAACAGCTTAGTTTGGGCTCGGTGGCTCATGTCTGTAATCCCAGCACTTTGGGAGGCAGAGGCGGGTGGATCACGAGGTCAGGAGATCGAGACCATCCTGGCTAACACGGCGAAACCCCATTTCCACTATAAAAAAAAATACAAAAAATTAACCGGGTGTGGTGGCGGGCACCTGTAGTGCCAGCTACTTGGGAGGCTGAGGCAGGAGAATGGCGTGAACCTGGGAGGCAGAGCTTGCAGTGAGCTGAGATCGCGCCACTGCAACTCCAGCCTGGGCGACAGAGCGAGACTCCTTCTACAAAAAAACAAAACAAAACAAAACAGCTTAGGCCTTTTACTTAACTTCTCTGATCACTACTTTCCTTGCCTATAAAATGGGGGTGATAATGTACCTACCTTGAAAATAGGAGGATTCAATGAGTTTGAAACCCGGACAGCACTTAAAAGATGCTGGGCATACAGGAAGCATTCAGTACATAATAATGAGTTCTTTTATTGTGGTAAAATATACATAACAAGGCCGGGCGCAGTTGCTCATGCCTGTAATCCCAGCACTTTGGGAGGCTGAGGCGGGGGATCACCTGAGGTTGGGAGTTTAAGACCAGCGTGACCAACATGGAGAAATCCTGTCTCTACTAAAAATACAAAATTAGCCAGGCATGATGGCGCATGCCTATAACCCCAGCTACTCGGGAGGCTGAGGCTGGAGAATCGCTTGAACCCAGGAGGCGGAGGTTGTGGTGAGCCAAGATCAGGCCCATTGCACTCCAGCCTGGGCAACAAGAGCGAAACTTGGTCTCAGAAAAAAAAAAAAAAACATATATATATATATACACACACACACACACACACACACACACACACACACATTTACCATTTTAACCATTTTTATTTTTATATTTATTAATTATTATTATTATTGTTAATTTTTTTTTGGAGACGAGTCTCGAGCTATTGCCTAGGCTGGAGTTCAGTGACGTGACCTCAGTTCACTGCAACCTCTGCCTCCTGAGTTCAAGCACAATTGTCATGCCTCAGCCTCCCGAGTAGCTAGGACTACAGGCTCTCGCCACCATGCCTGGCTAATTTTTTGTGTATTTTAGTAGAGATGGAGTTTCACCATGTTGCCCAGGCTGGTCTTGAACTCCTCAGCTCAGGCAATCCACTGCCTCAGCCTCCCAAAGTGCTAGGATTATAGGCGTGAGCCGCCGTGCCTGGCCGTTTTAACTGTTTTTAATTGTACAGTCTGTGGCATTAAGTATGTTTACATTGTTGTGCAACCATCACTACCATCTATCTCCAGAACCTTTTCATCTTGCCAAACAGAAACTCCGTGCCCGTGAAACAACAACTCCCCATTCCCTCCTCCCCTAGCCTCTGGCAACCATCGTTCTACTTTCTGTCTCTATGAGTTGACTACTGTAGGGATCTCCTAGAAATTGCATCATACAGTATTTGTCCTTCTGTGATTGGCTTACTTCCTTTAGCATAATGTCCTCAGGGTCCATCCATGCAGCATGGGTTAGAATATCCTTATTTTTTTTAAGGGCAAATAATATTCCATAGACCACATTACCCAGAAGTGGAATTGCTGGATCCTTTGGTCATTCCACGTTTAATCTTTTGAGGAACCGCCATGCTGTTTCCCGCAGTGGCAGCCCCACCATTCTTTTGGTTTCAGACCCCATCTATAGGCTGATGAATTCCAGCTTTATATCTACAGCTTTACGCCACCCCTGAGTTGTAGACAGATGTATGCAGTTTCCTACTTGATTTTGTCAATTAGATGTCTAACGAATCTTCTTTAAACTGCACCTCCCACTTGCCCTTTCTTACTTTCCCTCATTTTGGTAAATGGCACTAACTGAGCAGCACATTGCCCCAACTGAAAATTTTCTGCAGAGCCTAGTACAGAGGGAAGATGTGGAGCCTCAGCCAGGAACGGGGAAGTCAATCCCCTCTTCCTACAAGCCCGTGGCCCCAACCCACAGCGGACAGGCCACCCTAAAAGGATCCAGGGTGGTTGAGAGCCCTGGATCACTAGGGAAAAGATTCCTTGACTCCACTTGGGGAGGAATTTATCCTGATTGAGCGTGTTCCATGTGCCAGACATCATCTGGGTGATGGGGATACAACAGAGAACAGAACAGACAAAATCCTGTTGTCATGAAACTTTTATTCTGTGATGTTGCACTTACTCTATGTCTATTACTAAGATCTTGTCAAGAGCCAGGCCCTGACCTTGCACTAAGATACAACAGCGAGCAAAATGCACAAACGTATAATTACATTCGGTGATAAATTAATTCATTTAGCCAGTAGTCCAGATTGCTATATGAACACATAACAGGTAATTAGATCTGACTCGAGGAACTGGGGAATTTCTCAAAAATGTAAATTAAATGAACTTTATTTTCTGAGCCAGAGTCTCTGTTGCCCAGGCTGGAGTGCAGTGGTGCGATCTCAGCTCACTTCAACCTCCACCTCCCAGGTTCAAGTGATTCTCGTGCCTCGGCCTCCTGAGTAGCTGGGACTACAAGTGTGCACCACCACGCCTGGCTAATTTTTTGTATTTTTAGTAGAGATGGGGTTTCACCAAGTTGGCCAGGCTGGTCTTGAACTCCTGGACTCAACTGATCCACCTACCTCAACCTGCTAAAGTGCTAGGATTACAGGCATGAGCCACTGCACCCGGCCAAATGAAATTTATTTTTAGGAATGGTTATAGATTTACAGAGAAATCATGAAGTTAATACAGAGAGTTCCCATATATCTTGCACTGTTTCCCATGTTTCTAACATCTTACATCAGTAGGGTACATTTGTTACAGTATTGGACCAGTGTTGATATGTTGATACCTTATTATTAACTAAAGTCCATAAAATATTCAGATTTTTTTGTTTTGTTTTGTTTTTTTTTGGTGATAGAGTCTTCCTCTGTTGGCCAGGCTGGTGTGCAGTGGCATGATCTTGGCTCACTGCAACTTCCACCTTCGGGTTCAAGTGATTTTATGCCTCAGTCTTCTGAGTAGCTGCAATAGCGTTTTGCTGGAATTTAAGATCCAATGCTTTCATTTATGTTTTCCTGCATTGACTGCAGTGTTTGGCAGGAGCTGTGGCAACAGAAAGACCTGGATTCAGACCTGGCTCTCCCTCTTACACTCTATGTGACTTTGGACAAGTAGTAAACTCCTCTGAACATTATTTACCTCAGCTTTGAAACAGAGTTCTGGTATCTATCCCACGTGGTATTTGCAATGCTGCAAGATAAAGTCTCATCTTAAATCTGCCAGATTGTTGGGTACCTCTGACATCTCAGCATCCACAACTAGAGACCAAGCCAGCTCTTATTTCAAATGTGTACGGTAGGTCAGACACAGTGGCTCACACCTGTAATCCCAGCACTTTCGGAGGCCAAGGCGGGTGGATAGCTTGAGTCCCGGAGTTCAAAACCAGCTTGGGCAACATGGTGAAACCCCATCTCTACGAAAAATACAAAAATTAGCCAGATGTGTTGGTGCACACCTGTAATCCCAGCTACTCGGGAGGCTGAGGCAGGAGAATCACTTGAACCCGGGAGGCGGAGGTTGCAGTGAGCCGAGATCATGCCACTGCACTCCAGCCTGGGCAACAGAGTGAGACCCTGTCTAAGAAAAAAAACAAGTGTGTACAATGTGACCGAGAAGCTGGGTTAATCCTTTGCAGAGCAAAGTGCCATATGATGGGGAGGAAAGGAAGAGCAAATGTAGACTCAAAAATGCCTGAGTTTGAAGGTTTGGAGTAATCATCTAGGAAGGAAAGAAGGTATATAAGGAAATCTAGATTGGGAGATTTGGAAGATTTGGAAGTTATTAGAAGCATGTTGAGAAGGATCAGGCCATTTTGCCACTAATTTTCCTGTTTATTAGTTATGCATAGTTCCCATCAACAGGGGCAGAGCCCTGCTGTGGGCAGATCTTGTGGGGTTTTTTTTGTTTTTTGTTTTTTTTGAGATGAAGTCTCACTCTGTCGCCCAGGCTGGAGTGCAATAGCATGATCTTGGCTCACTGCAACCTCTGCCTCCTGGGTTCAAGTGATTCTCCTGTCTCAGCCTCCCAAGTAACTGGGATTACAGGCATGTGCCACCACGTTAGGGTAATTTTTTTGTATTTTTGTAGAGATGGGGTTTCACCATGTTGGCCAGGCTGGTCTCAAACTCTTGATCTCAAGTGATATGCTGGCCTCAGCCTCCCAAAGTGCTGGGATTACAGGCATGAGCCACCGCACCTGGCCTGCAGATCTTGTTTCTAATGACCCAGTAGAACAAAATGTTCAGCGATGCTCCCAGGTGGCAGTGTCCCAGAGGAAGGGATTGGGTTGTCCAGTGCTTTAGCTGCTTTGTAGTTTAATGTAACAGAGATCTAAGTGCAGAGGAGAGCAATAAAAGGCAAGCGTTAACTCTCGCCTGTCAATGTTGAGAGGGTGGTGGGAAGAAACAATGATAACCAAAAAATTGAAACCAGAAAGGGCCAGGCACAGTGGCTCATGCCCGTAATGCCAGCACTTTGGGAGGCCAAGGCAGGTGGATCACCTGAGGTCAGGTGGTCGTGACCTCAGATCCTGACCTAGAGACATGGCAAAAGTTGGTCTCTACTAAAAATACAAAAAATTAGCTGGGCATTGTGGCTAGTGCCTGTAGTCCCAGCTACCTAGGAGACTGAGACATGAGAATCCCTTGAACCCAAGAGGCAGAGGTTGCAGTGAGCCGACATCACACCACTGCATTCCAGCCTGGGTGACAGAGTGAGATTCCATCTCAAAAAAAAAAAAAAAAAAAAAAAAAAACTTAAATCAGAAAGGTCACATTGAAGAACTCAGCAAAAAGGAGAAAGGACAGGCACCTGAATAATAAAACCTTGGGCATTTACACAAATCTATAAAGGAAAAGAATTGGAAAAAGGGTTTATTAGTAAGTGTTCAGTAGAAAAAGCAGAAATCACCTTAGATATTTCAAAGAGAGAGCTTGAATACAGGGAATTAAGTTATAAAGCTGGTGGAAGGACTGGGAGAACAAAAATGGGAGAGGTGTGTTACCCAGAGATTAGAAACTACAGGAAGTTGGGAACATACTCCATGTAGTTAAATTCTGGGCATTAAAACTGCTTATCATCTGAAGTTTTATGAACAGCTGTGGGTAGAGTGTGGTGGCTCACACCAATAATCCCAGCACTTTGGGAGTTGAAGGTGGGAGGGTTGCTTGAGGCCTGGAGGTCAAAGCTGCAGGAAGACCAGCCTGGGCAACATAGCTAGACCTCATTTCTTTTCTTTTTTTTTGTTTTGAGACGGAGTCTTGCTCTGTCACCCAGGCTGGAGTGCAGTGGCGCCATCTCGGCTCACTGCAAGCTCCGCCTCCTGGGTTCACGCCATTCTCCTGCCTCAGCCTCCCGCCTAGCTGGGACTACAGGTGCCCGCCACCACGCCCAGCTAATTTTTGGTATTTTTTATAGAGACGGGGTTTCACCATGTTTGCCAGGATGGTCTCGATCTCCTGACCTCGTTATCAGCCCGCCTCGGCCTCCCAAAGTGCTGGGATTACAGGCGTGAGATACCGCACCTGGCTGACCCCATTTCTAAAAAAAAAAAAATTTAGCCAGGCACGGTGGTGCATGCCTGTAGTCCCAACTACTTGGGAAGCTGAGGTAGGTGGGTTGCTTGAGCCCAGGAGTTCAAGGCTGCATTAAGCTATTGATATAGAAGTTAAAAAGAAATTATTTAGGCAGATAGTCAGGGTAAGGAAGTCCTCCGTAAGGTTTTAAAAGTTTTCCTTTTACTGAAAAGCAGCCCCCAAATCATTTCTTTTCTAACAAAGATCAGCCTATAATATCGAGCTGCAGACATACATATCTTATTGAGTTGTCAAATGAAAGACTCTATGTACAATGCCTGGCACGTGGTAGGTACTCAGATATTGGCTGTTATTATTACAAATCAGCTCACTGTGCCTACATTTGAAGCCTGCCCAGTGGTTCCACAGAATTCAAGCTGGGGTGTAGGAGGATAAATGTCTCATCTGGATCCTGACAGCATGTGGATAAGGAAGAATCTTACCCCACAAACTAGCCTGTGATGTTGGGGAAGTCACCTAACCCCCACCGAACATGCTCTGTATTGCAAAGGGGAGATAATATTTCTCTTACAGGGTTGTTGTAAGAATGAAATGAGATCACGTGGCCAAGCCTGACCACAGAACATGTTCAGTTTAGCTCTTATTGTTAGGTGCACATTTTTGGCAAAGGAGGCTCTTGGGAATGGTGGAGGTGTCAGAGGCGTTTGAACCAGAGCAACCCCATCCTGAATAGGGGCTGGGTAAAATGAAGCTGAGATCTACTGGGCTGCATTCCCAGATGGTTAAGGCCTTCTAAGTCACAGGATGAGATAGGAGGTCATCACAATATACAGGTCATAAAGACCTTGCTGATAAAACAGATTGCAATAGAGAAGCCAGCCCAAACCCACCAAAACCAAGATGGCGACGAGAGTTCCTCTGGTGGTCCTCACTGCTACACTCCCACCAGTGCCATGACAATTTACAAATACCATGGTCATGTCAGGAAGTTACCCTATATGGTCTAAAAAGGGGAGGCATGAATAATCCATTCACTGTTTAGCATATAATCCAGAAAGAACCATAAAAAATGGGAAACCAGCAGCCTCCAGGGGCTGCTCTGCCTACAGAGTAGACATTCTTCATTTCTTTACTTTCTTAATAAGCTTTCACTTTACCCTATGGACTCACCCTGAATTCTTTCTTGGGTGAGATACAAGAACCCCTCTTGGTGTCTGGATCAGGACCCCTTCTCTGTAACTAAGGGGTGTCAATGTGAAAACAGATCGTGGTAGTGAAGGACACCCATTGGGGGCACTAATTTCGCACATTTTCCAAAGGTAATATTTATCAGTTAAAAAACGTTTTTTGTGGGGGGAGGAGCCAAGATGGCTGAATAGGAACAGCTCCAGTCTACAGCTGCCAGCGTAAGTGATGCAGAAGACTGGGGATTTCTGCATTTCCAACTGAGGTACTGGGTTCATCTCACTGGAGAATGTCGGACAGGGGCTGCAGCACACTGAGTGAGAGCCGAAGCAGGGCAAGGCATCGCCTCACCTGGGAAGCACAGGGGGTCAGGGAATTCCCTTTCCTAGTCAAAGAAAGGGGTGACAGACGGCACCTGGAAAATTGGGTCACTCCCAC
Source organism: Homo sapiens (assembly GCF_000001405.40). NCBI lineage: Eukaryota > Metazoa > Chordata > Mammalia > Primates > Hominidae > Homo > Homo sapiens. Next base: position 34,416,554 of record NC_000016.10, on the reverse strand, counting down.
CCTAATACTGCACTTTTCCAATGGTCTTAGCAAATGGCACACCAGGAGATTATATCCCGTGCATGGCTTGGAGGGTCCTACGCCCACGGAGCCTCATTCATTGCTAGCACAGCAGTCTGAGACCAAACTGCAAGGCAGCAACGAGGCTGGGGGAGGGGCGCCTGCCATTGCCGAGGCTTGAGTAGGTAAACAAAGTGGCTCAGAAGCTCGAACTGGGTGGAGCCAACCACAGCTCAAGGAGGCCTGCCTGCCTCTGTAGACTCCACGTCTGGGGCAGGGCATAGCCAAACAAAAGGCAGCAGAAACCTCTGCAGACTTAAATGTCCCTGTCTGAGAGCTTTGAAGAGAGTAGTGGTTCTCCAGCATGCAGCTGGAGATCTGAGAATGGACAGACTGCCTCCTCAAGTGGGTCCTTGACCCCCGAGTAGCCTAACTGGGAGGAACCTCCCAGTAGGGGCAGACTGACACCTCACATGGCCAGGTACTCCTCCGAGACAAAACTTCCAGAGGAAAAATCAGGCAGCAACATTTGCTGTTTACCAATATCTGCTGTTCTGCAGCCTCCACTGCTGATACCCAGGCAAACAGGGTCTGGAGTGGACCTCCGGCAAACTCCAACAGACCTGCAGCTGAGGGTCATGACTGTTAGAAGGAAAACTAACAAACAGAAAGGACATCCACACCAAAAACCCATCAGTACGTCATCATCATCAAAGACCAAAGGTAGATAAAACCACAAAGATGGGGAAAAAACAGAGCAGAAAAACGGGAAACTAAAAATCAGAGTGCCTCTCCTCCTCCAAAGGAATGCAGCTCCTCACTAGCAATAGAACAAAGCTGGATGGAGAATGACTTTGACGAGTTGAGAGAAGAAGGCTTCAGATGATCAAACTACTCCAAGCTAAAGGAGGAAGTTCAAACCCATGGCAAAGAAGTTAAAAACTTTGAAAAAAATTAGACGAATGGCTAACTAGAATAATCAATGCAGAGAAGTCCTTAAAGGACCCGATGGAGCTGAAAACCATGGCATGAGAACTGTGTGACGAATGCACAAGCCTCAGTAGCCAATTTGATCAACTGGAAGAAAGGGTATCAGTGATGGAAGATCAAAGGAGTGAAATGAAGTGAGAAGAGAAGTTTAAAGAAAAAAGAATAAAAAGAAATGAACAAAGCCTCCAAGAAATATGGGAGTATGTGAAAAGACCAAATCTACATCTGATTGGTGTACCTGAAAGTGACGGGGAGAATGGAACCAAGTTGGAAAACACTCTGCACGATATTATCCAGGAGAACTTCCCCAATCTAGCAAGGCAGGCCAACATTCAGATTCAGGAAATACAGAGAACGCCACAAAGATACTCCTCGAGAAGAGCAACTCCAAGACACATAATTGTCACATTCACCAAAGTTGAAATGAAGGAAAAAATGTTAAGGGCAGCCAGAGATAAAGGTCGGGTTACCCACAAAGGGAAGCACATCAGACTAACAGCTGATCTCTCGGCAGAAACTCTACAAGCCAGAAGAGAGTTGGGGCCAATATTCAACATTCTTAAAGAAAAGAATTTTCAACCCAGAATTTCATATCCAGCCAAACTAAGCTTCATAAGTGAAGGAGAAATAAAATCCTTTACAGAAAAGCAAATGCTGAGAGATTTTGTCACCACCAGGCATGCCCTAAAAGAGCTCCTGAAGCAAGCACTAAACATGGAAAGGAACAACCGGTACCAGCCACTGCAAAAACATGCCAAATACCCACTAGACATTTGAAGTTCTACAATGAACCCATCAGAGATGCAAAGAAAAGGGCCTCCACGGAGATGGTAACACCAGTCACATGGATGGATAATCCTATAGAAGTATATGTTAATGATAGCGTATGGGTACCTGGCCCCACAGATGATCGCTGCCCTGCCAAACCTGAGGAAGAAGGGATGATGATAAATATTTCCATTGGGTATTGTTATCCTCCTATTTGCCTAGTGAGAGCACCAGGATGTTTAATGCCTGCAGTCCAAAATTGGTTGGTAGAAGTACCTACTGTCAGTCCCATCAGTAGATTCACTTATCACATGGTAAGCGGGATGTCACTCAGGCCACGGGTAAATTATTTACAAGACTTTTCTTATCAAAGATCATTAAAATTTAGACCTAAAGGGAAACCTTGCCCCAAGGAAATTCCCAAAGAATCAAAAAATACAGAAGTTTTAGTTTGGGAAGAATGTGTGGCCAATAGTGCGGTGATATTACAAAACAATAAATTCGGAACTATTATAGATTGGGCACCTCGAGGTCAATTCTACCACAATTGCTCAGGACAAACTCAGTCATGTCCAAGTGCACAAGTGAGTCCAGCTGTTGATAGCGACTTAACAGAAAGTTTAGACAAACATAAGCATAAAAAATTGCAGTCTTTCTACCCTTGGGAATGGGGAGAAAAAGGAATCTCTACCCCAAGACCAAAAATAATAAGTCCTGTTTCTGGTCCTGAACATCCAGAATTATGGAGGCTTACTGTGGCCTCACACCACATTAGAATTTGGTCTGGAAATCAAACTTTAGAAACAAGAGATCGTAAGCCATTTTATACTATCGACCTAAATTCCAGTCTAACGGTTCCTTTACAAAGTTGCGTAAAGCCCCCTTATATGCTAGTTGTAGGAAATATAGTTATTAAACCATACTCCCAGACTATAACCTGTGAAAATTGTAGATTGTTTACTTGCATTGATTCAACTTTTAATTGGCAACACCGTATTCTGCTGGTGAGAGCAAGAGAGGGCGTGTGGATCCCTGTGTCCATGGACCGACCGTGGGAGGCCTTGCCATCCGTCCATATTTTGACTGAAGTATTAAAAGGTGTTTTAAATAGATCCAAAAGATTCATTTTTACTTTAATTGCAGTGATTATGGGATTAATTGCAGTCACAGCTACGGCTGCTGTAGCAGGAGTTGCATTGCACTCTTCTGTTCAGTCAGTAAACTTTGTTAATGATTGGCAAAAAAATTCTACAAGATTGTGGAATTCACAATCTAGTATTGATCAAAAATTGGCAAATCAAATTAATGATCTTAGACAAACTGTCATTTGGATGGGAGACAGACTCATGAGCTTAGAACATCGTTTCCAGTTACAGTGTGACTGGAATACGTCAGATTTTTGTATTACACCCCAAATTTATAATGAGTCTGAGCATCACTGGGACATGGTTAGACGCCATCTACAAGGAAGAGAAGATAATCTCACTTTAGACATTTCCAAATTAAAAGAACAAATTTTCGAAGCATCAAAAGCCCATTTAAATTTGGTGCCAGGCACTGAGGCAATTGCAGGAGTTGCTGATGGCCTCGCAAATCTTAACCCTGTCACTTGGGTTAAGACCATCGGAAGTACTACGATTATAAATCTCATATTAATCCTTGTGTGCCTGTTTTGTCTGTTGTTAGTCTGCAGGTGTACCCAACAGCTCTGAAGAGACAGCGACCATCGAGAACGGGCCATGACAACGATGGCGGTTTTGTGGAAAAGAAAAGGGGGAAATGTGGGGAAAAGCAAGAGAGATCAGATTGTCACTGTGTCTGTGTAGAAAGAAGTAGACATAGGAGACTCCATTTTGTTATGTACTAAGAAAAATTCTTCTGCCTTGAGATTCTGTGACCTTACCCCCAACCCAGTGCTCTCTGAAACATGTGCTGTGTCAACTCAGAGTTAAATGGATTAAGGGCGGTGCAAGACGTGCTTTGTTAAACAGATGCTTGAAGGCAGCATGCTCCTTAAGAGTCATCACCACTCCCTAATCTCAAGTACCCAGGGACACAAAAACTGCGGAAGGCCGCAGGGACCTCTGCCTAGGAAAGCCAGGTATTGTCCAAGGTTTCTCCCCATGTGATAGTCTGAAATATGGCCTCGTGGGAAGGGAAAGACCTGACCATCCCCCAGCCCGACACCCGTAAAGGGTCTGTGCTGAGGAGGATTAGTAAAAGAGGAAGGAATGCCTCTTGCAGTTGAGACAAGAGGAAGGCATCTGTCTCCTGCCCGTCCCTGGGCAATGGAATGTCTCAGTATAAAACCCGATTGTATGCTCCATCGACTGAGATAGGGAAAAGCCGCCTTAGGGCTGGAGGTGGGACCTGCGGGCAGCAATACTGCTTTGTAAAGCATTGAGATGTTTATGTGTATGCACATCTAAAAGCACAGCACTTAATCCTTTACATTGTCTATGATGCAAAGACCTTTGTTCACGTGTTTGTCTGCTGACCCTCTCCCCACAATTGTCTTGTGACCCTGACACATCCCCCTCTTCGAGAAACACCCACGAATGATCAATAAATACTAAGGGAACTCAGAGGCTGGCGGGATCCTCCATATGCTGAACGCTGGTTCCCCGGGTCCCCTTATTTCTTTCTCTATACTTTGTCTCTGTGTCTTTTTCTTTTCCAAATCTCTCATCCCACCTTACGAGAAACACCCACAGGTGTGGAGGGGCAACCCACCCCTGCACTGAGGCAGGAGAATAGCTTGAGCCCAGGACGTGGAGGTTGCAGTGAGCCAAGACCACACCACTGCACTCCAGGCTGGGTGACAGAGCAAAACTTTGTTTCAGAAAAAAAAAAAAAAAGGTGTTTCACTTTTCTTCCCTTTTTATCTTTTTTGCAGCTAGTTCTTAGATATACTCCAGCCCAGCTTATTTATCGTAAGCTTCAGGCAGCTTACTCTTTCCCCCAACCCCTCCCATCTCTCCTTTCCCATGTGATTTCATCTTTCCTTGGTAATGGTGTTTTGACTGGGCTTTTGTATAATGCTAAGTCACCATGAGACAGAATATTTCTCTCCTTATTTTTTTCAGGTGCTTTTGTTTCCTGAGCTGTTTTTGTAAGTGTGTGTGTTCCTGGTTTTGCTTCTAGTTGGCAAATAGGCCCAGTATTCAGGGAGAAGACTGGATACCATGGTGTGTCAATTGGTCTTTAAAAGAAATAAGCAAAAGTTGATCACATGCTGAATCTGAGGGCCAATGCAGAGCTGCCTCCCAAAAGGTCAATCAATTTCAACTAAGGAGATTAAAGTCCCGAGTGCAGAGAAGCTCGGTCACGTGTTTCTGGATGCCTGCCTCCTCCAGCAGCCTGACAGCAGGCAATGGAGTCCAGAGTGCTGGACTGAGCCCCTTGGGTCAATGTCAAGATGATAAAAAATAAGGAGAGGATACAAAAGGAAAAGCTAGCTGATGGGACTCAGTGATTCCTCATGGGGCTGTACTAGCAGCGTGGGCAGACCTTCCTTCTGCAGGACTGACTTGCTCAGTGTAGGATGTTTGGCAGTGCTGTCCTCAACCCCATCAAATATGAGTGGCTCTGGATCCAAGCCACTGTGCAGACCAAACCAAACCCAACCCTAAACAAAAGTGACGCCCCTGCACATTTCCTAGTGGACAGGTTCACCCTTGGTACCCAACAGCCCCACCTCTCATTTGCTCTCTAGGTGGAGAGGAGGCCTTGTGTGCCTCCCAGGTGGAGAACTAATTTGCCTTGTCCAGACCCTCCTCACAGGATTCTAGGGTTCCATGTTCCCTGACTGCCAGGGGCTTTGTAGAGCCTCAGCCACCGAGGGGCAAGGTCAGATGTGGCAGAGGAGGGAGAGGGGCAGACTGGCAAGGCCTGGCTGAGACTGAGGTGGAGAAGAGGGGCTTTGGCATCATATAGACCCAGGGCTGGACCTATCTCTGACTCTTACGGGCTCTGCATTGGCCCTGAGCTTCAGCATGTGATCTCCTTCTGCTTATTTCTTTGTAAGACAGTTTGGTATACGAGGTATCCAGTCTGAGCCCAGACTGAAAGTGAGCTACACTTTTGAAGTTTCTAAAAAAGAAGCCACCACCCACCTCAAAGGGGTTATGCCAAGCTCACAGGAGGTGGTGTGTGTACATAAAGTGCACAATAGTCCCTAGCCAGCCCTCTACTGCAGGCAGCTATCCAGTGACACCGGACAGGCAGATGGGGGCAAAAATCCCACTCAGCTCCCTGGATGTGTGGTCTGAATGTTTGTGTGCCCTCAAAATTTATGTGGTAAAATCTTAACCCCTGAGGTGATGGTATTAGGAGATAGGGTCTCTGGGAAGTGATTAGGTCACGAGGGTGGAGGTTTCGTGAATTGAATTAGTGCCCTTATAAAAGAGGCCCAAGGGAACCCTCTCACCCCTCCCACCATTCGAGGACACAGCATAAAGGCGCTGTCTATGAACCGGAAAGCACACCCTCACCAGACACCAAATCTGCCTTGATCTTGGACTTTCCAGCCACTAGAACTATTCACTTTCTGTGTTGAGAAGCCACCCAGTGTATGGTGTTTTGCTATAGTAGCCCTAAGATGCCAGAGCTGGTGATTTGTTTTAGAAGCTGACAAATCAATGTATTTTGGGGTTCAGTGGACATGCCCTGGCAACCATGAATGCTGTGCAAATGTCAGGTCTGTGGGATAGCACAGAGGCAGGAGTCAAACAGGGCCAGGGAGAAGGGTTGTGCAGGGAGGCAGGAGGGACTGAGCTGGGCCTTCACACTGGGTCTGGTTGGTCCCTGAAGGCAGGAAGGAGTAGGAGCATTTCAGGAAGGGGAGTAGCATGTGGCTGGTGGAAACCACAGGTATTTGTTGGGCAGGAAAGTTAAGTGGGCTGGGATGAAAGCCAGTCGGACAGAGGCCTGTGGATGTTAACAACGGCAAAGACTCACTCAGGCTTCCCAGGCAAATGGCAGGAGCCCAAAACCACAGTTCGCCTGGCCTTGAGGTGAGATCCTCTTTAGGGACCGACTGTTCATGCAGGGCCTCTTCCTTCTCTCTGCTGTCTTTTGGTTAGGATGGCCTCAAAAATGGAGTGGGAAGAGGGTGAGGCTCTACATGAGTCTATGCCAGGCCCTGGCTGCTTGTTTTGTTATCTAAAGCGGGGTTCCCCAACACCCGGGCCATGGACTGGTACTGGCCTGTGGCCTGTTAGGAACCGGGCTGCACAGCCAGAGGTGAGTGGCGGGCGGACGAGCAAGCAAAGCTTCATCTGTATTTACAGCTGCTCCCCATCATTCACATTATTGCCTGAGCTCTGCCTTCTCTCAGATCAGTGGCAGCATTAGATTCTCATAGGAGCACAAACCCTATTGTGAACTGCATATGCCAGGGATCTAGGTTGCATGCTCCTTATGAGAATTTAGTGCCTGATGATCCGTCACTATCTCCTGTCACCCCTGGATGGGACCATCTAGTTGCAGGAAAACAAGCTCAGGGTTCCCACAGATTCTATATTACGGTGAGTTATATAATTATTTCATTATATATTACAATGTAATCATAATAAAAATAAGGTGAACAATAAATGTAATGTGCTTGAATCATCCCGAAACCTTCCCTCACACCAGGTCAATGGAACAATTGTCTTCCATGAAACTGGTCCCTGGTGCCAAAAAGGTTGGGAACCATTTATCTAAAGGACAGGAGGGGCTGCTGTCAAAAGCACCTGCCTCAAGATCCAGAGGGTGGCAGAGCCCCAAACCCTCAGGGTAGGGAGGTTCATGCACTTGCCTGAGGTCACTGGGTGGTTAATGGCAGGGCTGGTTTCCTGCTGTCCAGTCAGGAGGTCCTTCTCCTATACCCCCAGCCTCATCCCTATTTCTTCCCAGATAATTGAGAAATGAATGGCCAGCGCTGCAGGCTTAGTTTTGTGGTAAACAGTTGGAACAGCCTGGTCACAGTGACTTATGCCTGTAATCTCACCATTTGAGGAGGCAGAGGTGGGTGGGTCACTTTAGGTCAGGAGTTTGAGACCACCCTGGCCAACATGGCAAAACCCCGTCTCTCATAAAAATACAAAAATTAGCTGGACATGGTGGCGTGCACCTGTAATCACAGCTGCTCGGGAGGCTGAGGCAGGAGAATTGCTTGAACCCAGGAGGCAGAGGTTGAAGAGAGCTGAGATCATACCACTGCACTCCAGCCTGGGCACCACAGCGAGACTCTGTCTCAAATAATAATAATAATAATAATAATAATAATAATAATAATAATAATTAAATGTAAGTCAAATGCATATGGAAGTCTTGAAATACATTCTTCACAAAGAAATATCCCAAAAAAAGTAGTTTAAAAACTGTTTCAGTAGAACACAGGCTAGAGAAGGAAAAATGACTTCTACCTAATGTAATAATAGTGAACACATACATAGCACTTACTGTATGCCAGGCACTGCTCTGAACACTCCCAAATGAACACATTTATTCCACAGAATAATCCTATGAGGCGGGCACTAGTATTATGATCTCCAGCTTACAGATGAGGAAATCAGCGGACAGAGGATTAAATGATTGGCCCAAGGTCACACCGCGAAAGCAGGGCTATGGCAGGTTGAGGCTGCAGTGAGCCAAGACTGTGCCACTGCACTCCAGCCTGAGTGACAGAGCCAGACCCTATCTCAAAAACAAACAAAAAACCCAAAGCCAGGGCTAAAAGCCAAATTGTCAACTTCCAGGCTACTTTCCATTTGACCATTCCAGAAAGCCCCTTACTAAGGGCGCAGTTGGTAGCTGAGGGGCTCACGTTGGACTTCCTGGTGGCTGGGCATCCCCTGTGTGGCTCTGGCAGCTGGAGAGAATCCCTGCATTTCCTGGGCTCCAGATTTTTCCATGTCATTTTATCTTCAGTCAGTGACTGAGACCTCTGCCTCAGCAAGGCTTCTCAAACTATCAGTGGTAAGGACCCAGGTTTTTATTTGCAGTGGGGTCTAATATGTGATGAGAAATGGAAATTTTTGTGTTAAAAAAACATACAAAATACAAGCTCGTTTCTTTTTTATTACTAAATTATTGCAACATAGCATTGCTCTGTTAAATGTGTGTGGATGCTCCTGAACACTTACTCTCACTTTCTGTGTTTGCCTCATTATGGAGCCAGAAGCAATATTTTGGGTCTCTATGAGTGGCACAGTTCTTTTTTTTCTTTCTTTCTTTTTCTTTTTCTTTTTCTTTCTTTCTTTTTTTTTTTTTTTTTTTTTTTGTAGAGATGGGGGTCTCGCTATGTTGCTCAGGCTGGTCTCAAACTCCTGGCCTCTAGCTATCCTCCCCACTTGGCCTCCCAAAGCACTGGGATTATAGGCATAAACCACTGTGCCCTGTGAAAAGCAAGTCCCTGCCAGCCTCTGCAGTGACAGATTCTGTAATTTCCAGAGACAAAACGTCACAAGCACTAACCCGGCTACATCCTGGCTGGGCCTTTCCACATGGTTACCTTGGAGGGAGAGGAGCTCAGGGCCATCTGGTCACCTCTCTTGCATTGTGTAGCAGCAAAGCACAGGCCTTAGAAACTCAAGAGCAAATCCATTCCCCTCACTCATGAGCCGTGTGAACTCGGGGCAAGTTCCTAACCTGTCTGTGCTTCAGTTTCTCCATCTGGCAGACGGAGAGGACGATGTCTTCCACTCAGGGAGGCGGTGAAGGTGAGATGCAGTCATGCCTGGAAAGCACTTAGCACAGTGCCTCGTTACTCTCTGTTCCTCTTTGTCCACAAAAAGACTTGAGTTATGGCTGCTGGGAACAGGTGGGACTCTGGGGAGAGGGCAGCATGGCTGTGAGCCTTATAAGAACAACGTGGCCCTCTTGAACAAAATGTCAGAACAGGCGGTCTGGGTGAGCACAGCCTCCACAAGTCCACACATGAGTGAGGATTTCCCAGGAAAACCTTCCCTGGCCAGAGAATTGTCGAGAGAAAGGCAGGAGGTCAACTCAACCTCAGACCAATTGGCCAAGAAGGCTCCAATTTCACACCTTCCACTGAGATTTGCTGGGGAGGAAGCCTGGTGCTGTGCCTCCAGGGTATCTAGGACAGATGTGGGGTGTGTAAGCACCAAACAACTGGTTAGTCTGTGGTTTCTGGAGTTGGCACTGTTAGCTTCAGAGGCACCGTCTTGGTGTGTAGAGCTCAGCATCAGGACACCTTAGGCCTCTGAATCATCATCGGTAAGGCAGCTGCGATGGCCCAGGTATTAGTATGCTCAGATTGCAGTCACTTAAAGCAACAGAAATTTATTTTCTCACAGTTCTGGAGCCTGGAAATCCAGGTCAAGGTGTCCGCAGGGCTGGTCCTTCTGAGGGCTGTGGGGGAAGGGTCTGCTCTAGGCCTCTCTCCTGGGCTTGCAGATGGCTGTCTTTTCCCCATGGCTTCACAATTCTCTTCCCTCCATGTGTGTCTGTGTCAAAACCTTCCACCTGTAATTGGAACACCAGCTTTTAGAATTAAGAATAGGGCCCACTCTAATGTCTTCATTTTAACTTAATGATTTCTGCAAAAACCATATCTCCAAGCCCGCTTGCATTCTGAGGCACTGGGACTTGGGATTTCAATATATGAATTCTAGGAGATTGAGGGGGGCCCATAATTCAGTCTGTAACAGCCTCTGACCCTACTGGCTTCTGCAGAACCAAGCAAATTAGTCCTTAAGGCAGACCATCCAAAGGCTGATCAACAACAACAACAAACAAGCTTTCAGACCAACAAGAGAAGACAAGATTGCAGTGCCTTCATAATGATGTTGCTTTATTGATGCAATGTAAGGGAAACTACATTAGAATCTATTGATTCTCACTCTCTCTCTCTCTTTTTTTTTTTTTTTGAGAGAGTCTTGTTCTGTCACCCAGGCTGGAGTGCAGTGGTACGATCTTGACTCATGCAACCTCCACCTCCTGGGTTCAAGTCATTCTTGTGCCTCAGCCTCCTGAGTAGGTGTCATGCCCAGCTGATTTTTGTATTTTTAGTAGAGATGGGGTTTCACCATGTTGGCCAGGCTGCTCTCGAACTCCTGGCCTCAAGTGATTGACCTGCCTTAGCCTTCCAAAGTGTTGGGATTACAGGTGTCAGCCACTGTGCTGGGCCTCTATTGATTGTCTTTGACATCAGCAGTAAAGTAAGAGATGAGCCTGGGATCCCCCAGATTCCTCCTGTCTTCAGTATGTTAAGGTTTAGCCTAGAACTGTGCTCAGCCTTCCCTGTGGCTGAATGTGGGACTTAGGGCAAGTCATATAATCTTTCCAAGCTGAAATGTATTGATAAAGCCCAGATAACAAAAATAACTTCTATTTATCTCCCTAGGTGTTCTGAGACTTAAGGCATGGTCGTAGCGATGACGCATTGCAGAACCAAATGAATTAGTCCTTAGGGTAGACCATCCAAAGGCCGATCAACAACAACAAAAAACAAGCTTTCAAACCAACAAGAGAAGACAAGATTGCCGTACCTTCATAACAACGTTGCTTTATTAATGCAATGCAAGAAAAACTACGTTAGAATCTAGTGATTCTCCTTGAGGTCTAATAATATGCTTTATTCAAACCTTATTCACAAACCACTTCCTCCACCGGTCTTTCACAGTAACTGAAATTGGCCAGTTACAAGCAGAATTGGACCTACTGTCCTTTGAAATCGCAGAAGCAGACATGTTTTAGAATATAAAAGACACTAATGTTTCTTTGGGAAACACGTCCTGTTTGGAAAAAAAAATCTCTCTTCTAAACAAAAATTGAAAGCATGCCTAACTTCAGATTTATGTGATTACAGAGTCTTTCTCAGGGCTAATCAGTTTTAGAACAGATTCCTATTGGCATCAGAGAGCCAATAAAAAATCCAAGAGAGAAGAAGTAACACAACAACTTAGAGAAACCAGGTTGTTCATTTGTTTAAATAGCATTGAGGCTGGACACGGTGGCTCATGTCTGTAATCTCAGCACTTTGGGAGGCTGAGGCGGGTGGATCACGAGGTCAGGAGATTGAGACCATCCTGGCTAACATGGTGAAACCCTGTCTCTACTAAAAAATACAAAAAATTAGCCGGGCGTGGTGGCGGGCACCTGTAGTCCCAGCTACTCCGGAGGCTGAGGCAGGAGAATGGCGTGAACCCGGGAGGCGGAGCTTCCAGTGAGCAGAGATTACACCACTGCACTCCAGCCTGGGCGACAGAGCAAGAATCCATCTCAAAAAAAAAAAAAAAAAAAAAAATCGAATTCATATTTACACCGCTGAGTCAAATTATTTATACACACCCTGTAGGTTTTGCGTCTCCAGAATTTGTTAGCATTCAGAGGATAATAAACTGTATCTTGACATATTTGTGAAAAAATATGTAGATGACACCTGGTGGAGTTTATTGAAACTATTATTCAGGTGTAGAGCAAGATAAACTCAGCAGAAAGGAAGGAGGCCGGGTTTTTAGATGTCACAATGGATGGTTAAGAATTTCAGTTTTTGGGCAATGTTATAATACTCGAGTTATTTGCCTCTGGTCCTCATTTTCTCCATCTCTAGCATCGGTTGTGAACTCAGGGTTTTCTGTAAGTATTAAATGGAATAACACATGCTGAGAGATCTGTGTGGGCCCTCCCAGGGTTAAGAATCTAATAAATGGTAGCTCATATATCATCATTGTTACAGAGAATCTTTGCATGTTTATATTTTATCTTTGGAAAAGAATTAAATTCGTTGAAAAAAAGAGAGTAAGTCTCAGACCTCCTTAGCATGTGCTCTCTCTCAGTTCTAAGAAGGGATATTGCCTCCCTACGACCCCGCATGGAACTGGCGGGATGGAGGGGCTGGTTAGGAGGCAGGGTGAGGAAACATGCAGAGGTTTCACTTTTTGCATCTTTCCTGGGTAGCTGCAGCATTTGGCTTGATAACTTGTGAATTCCAAGATCAGAAGACCTACCTGAATTGAATTGCAAGTGCCCCAATCTTTCCAAATTCCATAATAATTTTTTTAAAAAATTAATTAATTAATTACTTTTTTTGAGACAGGGTCTCACTCTGTTGCCCAGGCTGGAGTACAGTGGCACAATGTTCACTCACTACAACTTCTGCCTCCCAGGTTCAAGGGATTCTCCTGTCTCAGCCTCCTGAGTAGTTGGGATTACAGGTGTGTGCCACCATGCCCAGCTAATTTTTGTATTTTTAGTGGAGACGGGGTTTCAACATGTTGGCCAGGCTGGTCTTGAACTCCTGACCTCAAGTCATCTGCCTGCATTGGCCTCCCAAAGTGCTGAGATTACAGGTGTGAGCTACTGCTCCTGGCTCATGGTAATAATTATAATAATATTATTATTCTTTTTTTCCCACATCACTGTGTCATATTATAGCACAGAAAACTAAAGTTGGACCAATGACCTTTGGCTAGAAGGAGCCCATTGGGATTCTGATGGTTATTGACTGCATTTGTATGTCCTCTGTAGATTCACTTGTTGAAATCCTAACCCCCAATGGGATGATATTAGAAGGTAGGGCCTTTGGGAGGTGATTAGGTCATGAGGGTAGGGCCCTTATGATGGGATTAGTGCCCTTATAAAAGAGACAGGAAAGGCTGGGTGAAGTGGCTCACACCTGTAATCCCAGCACTTTGGGAGGCCAAAGCAGTGGATCACTTGAGGTCAGGAGTTCAAGACCAGTCTGGCCAACATGATGAAACTCTGTCTCTACTAAAAATACAAAAGTTAGCCGGGCATGGTGATGCACGCCTGTCGTCCCAGCTCCTTGGAAGGCTGAGGCAGGAGAATTTCTGGAGTGTGGAAGGCAGAGGTTGCAGTAAGCCAAGATAGCGCCACTGTACTCCAGCCTGGGTGACAGAGTGAGTGAGACTCCGGGTCAAAAAAAAAAAAAAAAGGAAAGAGCTTGCTTCTCTCACTGCTCTCTACCATGTAAGGTCACAGTGAGAAGGCAGCTGTCTGCGAGCCAGGAACAGGGCCCTTGCCAGTAACCTGATCATGTTGGCACCCTGATCTCAGACTTCCAGCCTCCAGAAATATGAGAAATAAGTGTTCATTATTTAAGCCCCCCAGCCTATGGTAATTTGTTACAGCAACCTGGACTGACAAAAACAAAGATCATTCCAAAAAATAAGAGCTCTTTTTTGTTTTTTCTTCTGATTCCAGCTCTCAGGTACCACCACAGCAGATTATTTGGGCTCTCTAAACAACTAATCTGGGATCAAGAGAGATACAGATTTCCCATTTGTCTGTCTCCCTCCCTGAATGACAACTCTACATTTTATCTAATATCTGTGGGAAAAACATTCAGCAAAGGGAGAAGCCAGTCCACCAACATGCACAGGCAGCAATGGTCAGGAGAATCCACCTCACATCATGCAGCCCTCACCCTTTCTTGTCTGAAGATGATAATCATGCTGTCATTTATAGAGTGATTCTCTTAAGGGTCAGGTAGTGGTGGTAATTTGACGTATTTTATTTCTGAATCTCACAACACATTTTTAGGCAGTTATGGTTGCTCCCATTTTACAGATGAGGTAACCGAGGCCTGAGCATCACAGCTAATAAGTAGAAAAGCCAGGATTTGGGCTCCAGAGCCTGCATTTCAACAATTATTCTATTTTTACTACATGATTTTTGGGAAGGCACGTAAGCTTTTGGAGGATCAGTACCCTATTAAGCAAGACAGAGATAAAAATCCTATTTTGCAATAAGCACAGAGAAATATGTTCAGATCAGATAAATGCAAATTAAGGAATCCTTGCCAGAGTAATCAGGCAAGAGAAAGAAAGAAAGAAGGAAAGGACATCCAAATTGGAAAAGAAGTCAAACTATCTCTGTTTGCTGATGATATGATTGTATGCGTAAAAAACCCTAAAGACTCCTCCAAAAGACTTCTAGATTTGATAAATAAATTCAGTAAAGTCTTAGGTTACAAAATCAATGTATACAAATCAGTAGCACTGCTACTTATCAACGGCCAGGCTGAGAATCACATCAAGAACTCAATCTTTTTTATAATTGCTTCAACAAAACAAAACAAAACAAAAACAACCCTAGGAATATACTTAATCAAGAAGATGAAAGATCTCTACAAGGAGAACTACAAAATACTGCTGAACGAAATCGTAGATAACACAAATGGAAATACATCCCATGCTCATGGATTGGAAGAATCAATATCACGAAAATGACCATACTGCCCAGTGCCATCTACAGATTCAATGCAATTCCTATAAAAATACCAACTTTGTTTTTCACAGAATTAGAAAAAACAATCCTAAAATTCATATGGCACCAAAAAAGAGCACAAATAGTTCAAAGCAATCCTAAGTGAAATAACAAATCTGGAGGCATCATATTACTTTACAAATTATACTACAAGGATATAGTTACCAAAACAGCATAGTACTGGTATAAAAGTAGATATATAGACCAATGGAACAGAATGGATAACCCATAAATAAAGCCAAATACTTACAACTAACTGATCTTCAACAAATCATACAAAAACATAAATTAAGGAAAGGACACCCTATTCAATAAATGATGCTGGGAAAACTGGATAGCCACATATAGAAGAATAAGACCGGTTCCCTCTCTCTCACCATAATAAAAATCAACTCAAGATGGATTAAAGACTTGAATCTAAGACCTGAAACTATAAAAATTCTAGAAAAAAAAAACTAGGAAAAACTATTCTGGACATTGGCCTAGGCAAAGAATTTGTGCCTAAGACCCCAAAAGCAAATGTAATAAAAACAAAAATAAATACATGGGAACTAATTAAACTGAAAACCTTCAACACAGCAAAAGAAATAATCATCAGAGGAAACAGACGATTCACAGAATGGGGGAAAATATTTGCAAACTATATGTCTGACAGAGGACTAATATCCAGAATCTACAAGGAGCTCAAACAAATCAGCAAGAAAAAAACAAACAATGCCATCAAAAAGTAGGCAAATGACAGGAATAGACATTTCTCAAAAGAAGATATACAAATGGTCAACAATGAAAAAATGCACAACCTAACTAATCATCAGGGAGATGCAAATTAAAACCACAGTGAGAGATACCTCCTTACTCCAACCAGAATAGCAATTATTAAAGAGTCAAAAAGCAATAGATGCTGGTGTGGATACAGTTAAAAGGGAATGGTTATATCCTGCTGGCAGGAATGTAAATTAGTACAACCTCTATGGAAAACCGTATAGAGATTTCTCAAAGAACTACAAGCAGATCAACCATTTGATCCAGCAATCCCACTACTGGGTATGTACCCAAAGGAAAAGAAGTAATTCTATCAGAAGACACCTGTGCGCATATGTTTATTGCAGTACAATTCACAATTGCAAAGATATGGAATCAACATAAGTGCCCATCAAGCGATGAGTGGATAAAGAAAATGTAATATACATATGCCATAGATTACTACTCAGCCATAAAAAAGAAAGAAATAATGTCTTTTGCATCAACTTGGGTAGAGCTGAAGGCCATTATTCCAAGCGAAGGAACTTGGGATTGCAAAACCAAATGCCACATGTTGTCACTCATAAGTGGAAGCTAAGCTATGGGTATGCAAAGGCATATGCAATGGTATAATGGACATCAAAGACTCAGAAAGGAGGAGGGTGGGAGGGGGTGAGAGATTGAAAAACTACCTATTGGGTACAATGTACACTACTTGGGTGATGGGAACACTAAAATCTCAGACTTGACCACTGTACAATTCATCCATGTAACCAAAAACTACTTGTACTCCTAAAGCTACTGAAATCAGAAAGAAATGCAAATGAAAACCACAATGAGCTGTCACCTCACACCTGTTAGGATGGCTATTATCAAAAATATCAAATATAACAAGTGTAGCCAAGGATGCGGAGAAAGGGGCACCCTTGTCCACTGTTGGTGGGAATG
This sequence comes from Homo sapiens, assembly GCF_000001405.40. Classification (NCBI taxonomy): domain Eukaryota; kingdom Metazoa; phylum Chordata; class Mammalia; order Primates; family Hominidae; genus Homo; species Homo sapiens. Next base: position 34,399,865 of record NC_000016.10, on the reverse strand, counting down.
TAAACTGGTACAGCCACTATGGAAAACAGTATGGAAGATTCCCCAAAACCTAAAAATAGAACATGATTCAGCAATTCCACTACTGGGTATACATCCAAAGGAATTGAAATCACTCTGTTGAAGAGATACCTGCACTCTCATGTTCATGGCCGCACTATTCACAGCAGCCAAGATGGGAAATCAAGTTAAGTGTCCATCAATGGATAAATTAAATGTGGCTTATATACACAATGGGGACATATTCATCTCTTAAAAAGAAGGAAATCCTATCATTTGTGACAAGACAGATGAGCCTGGAGGACACTATGCCAAGTAAAATAAGCCAGGTACAAAAAGACAAATACTGCGTGACCTCACTTCTTCTTTTTTTTTTTCTTTTTTTGAGACAGAGTTATGCTCTTGTCACCTAGGCTGGAGTGCAATGGCATGACCTCCACTCACTGCAACCTCTGCTTCCCGGGTTCAAGTGATTCTCCTGCCTCAGCCTCCTGAGTAGCTGGGATCACAGACATGTACCACCATGCCTGGCTAATTTTTGTATTTTTAGTACAGACGGGGTTTCACCATGTTGGCCAGGCTAGTCTCCAACTCCTGACCTCAGCTGATCCACCCGCCTCAGCTTCCCAAAGTGCTAGGATTACAGGCATGAGCCACCACGCCCAGCCCTGTGTGACCTCACTTCTATGGGAAACCTAAAAACATTGAACCCTTTGACCTAGAAAGTAGAATGGTGGTTACCAGGGGCTGGGAGTGGGGAGTGGTGGAGTAGGGAGGGAATCAGATATTGGTCAAAGGATACAAAGTTTCAGTTAGATAGAAAGAATAAGTTTTGGAGATCTATTGCACAACATGGTGACAGTTAAAAATAACGTATAGTATATTTCAAAATTGTTAAGAGAATGTATTTCAAATGTTCTCATCACAGAAAATGATGTGTGTGAGGTAATGAATAGGTGAATTAGCTAGATTTGATCATTCCATAATGTACACATACGTCAAAATGTCACATCATACCCCATAGTTATATACAATTATTTGTCAATTAAAGATAAAAATATGTAAAAATATATTTTTTAAAAAGATACTTAGCATTATTATCATCAGAGAGATGCAAATCACAACCACAATGAGATACCACTTCACACTCACTAGGACAGCTATAATAAAACAGACAATCACAAGTATTAGCAAGTGTGTGGAGACATCAGGTCCTTCATACGTTGCTGGTAGGAATGTAAAATGGTTCAAATTCTTTGGAAAACGGTGTTTCCTCAAAAAGTTCAACATAGGACAGGCGTGGTGGCCCACACCTGTGATCCCAGCAGTTTGGGAAGCTGAGGCAGGAGGATGGTCTGAACCCAGGGGGTTCAAGACTAGCCTGGGCAACATAGTCAGACTCAGTCTCTAAAAAAGAAAAAGTTAGCCAGGTGTGGTGGTATGTGTCTGTAGTCTCAACTACTCTGGAGGTTAAAGTGGGAGGATTGCTTGAACCCAGGAGGTCGAGGCTGCAGTGAGGTATGATTGTGCCACTGCATTCCAGCCTGGGTGACAGAGCAAGACCCTGTCTCAAAGAAAAAAAAAATTCAACATAAGAGTTACCATATGACCCAGCAATCCCACACCTAGCCATGTACTCAAGAGAACTGAACATATATGTCTGCACAAAACCTGGTACACAAGTGTTTAGAGCAGCATTATTTATAATAGCCCCAAAGTGGAAACAACTCAAAGGTCTATCGCCTGATAAATGGATAAATAAAATGCAGTCTATCCATGTAATGGAATATTATCTGGCAATAAGAAGCAATGAAGTTCTGATACCTGCTATAACATGGGTGAACCCTGAAAACATGCTGAGTGAAAGAGACCAGTCACAAAAGACCACACATTGTATGATTCCATTTATATGAAATGTCCAGAAGAGACCAATCCAAAGGGAGAGAAAGTAATTAGTGGTTGCCTCGGGCTGGGAATGGAGCAATGTTGGGGAGTGACTGCTCCTGGGTGCAGGGTTTCTTCTTGGGGTTATGAAAATGTTCTGGAATTAGAGGGTGATGATGGTTGTGCAACTTTGTGAATAAACTAAAAACCAGTGAATCGCACGCTTTAAAATAAAGTGGTGAATTTTATGATATATGAATTATATCTGAAAAAAATTTAATGAATGCTTAATGCAGAAAATAAGAAAAAAATGAAACAGAAATTGCAATTGCAGCATCCAGAGATAATCACTGCAAATGTTTTGACGTAGATTTCCAGACTCTTGTGTAAATCTATACATCTTTGGAAAATAAAGTGGGATCATATAGCCCATATGCTTTAGTGAAAGTTTTGTTTTTATATTACTAGTACTTTTCCTTTGCATTAAGAAATAGCCTCTCTAAGTATCAGTGGGTTTCACCTCTATGTCTTCTCAAATGTCTTGCCTTTCCACATTTCTCTGCCAAGCCATGCTCCTCTTCCCTACTCTCTTCTTCAGGAGAACTTTCCAAATTCATCTGATCCACCTCCCCTTGGCGCTTCTGCCTCCCCTCGGTGCCTCTGTCTCCCCTGAGCACCTGCCAGAGCTGCTAAGGAACCGAGGGGGAACTGAGGCCTTCCAGAACATCATGTTTGTGGGACTCAGGGTGGTTCTGCAGGGCAGAGTGAAGGTCAAGCCCAGCAGAGTTAGGTGGGCACGTACACTCCAGAGCATGCACACAAGGGGAGGAGAGAGCGAAGTCCAAGGAACACACAACTGGGCCCAAAAAAGATTTGGGGAAAGGTGCTGACAGGCAGATTATGTGGTCAGAGGTTCCGGTGTTGGGTCCTGGCTCTGCCTCTTCCTTGCCCTTAGTGGGCCTCAATTCCAACAGCTATAAAAGAGGGGACCGAGTATTAAACTTTTCCCAACAGCAACACCAACTGTCTGTGCTCCCAGACTTGACCTACCTCCAGAGGTTCACCTGGAGGACTGGCCCTTCCAGATGCTTCTGTCATGCCACCTAGATGCTTCCATCAGAAGGAAAGGGACAGTGAAGCCTTTACAAGGAAAACTGAATTTGCTCCAATTCACTGAGGGAGAGAGTTCCCACCTAATTATTACTACTTCCAAGTTACTCGTATCCCACTCAGGGCTCTGAGCTTGGGGCCTCACCCTGTCTTCCACATCTCCTTGGGCTGTCGTTCCCAAACTTGAATGTGCACCAGGATCACCTAGAGGGCATCATGAAACACACCAGCCCTGCTCCCAGAGCCTCTGAGCTCGTGGTCTGGGCTGGGGCTGGAGACGCTACATTTCTAGTATGTTTCCAGGTGACGCTGATGTTGCTGGTCTAGGGAATCCCATTTCGAGGAGCACCGTTCAAGAGCCTCACCTCTTTCCTGATCCCTCAGCCACCTGCAGCAAATGTCTCTCCAGTAAAGTGGGGGCTCCCAGTGATTTTGGTGGCTTTCACCATGCTGGGGATAGTTTGACTGCCATTTCAATTTCTCCTAATTCTTTTGGTGGATGGATGGATGATGGAGAGGGTAGGGGGTCGGGGGTGGGGATGAAGGAAAAAAAGGCACTAGAGCTTTATTAATAAGTGGTAGATTGAGAGGCCAAGGCAGGCGGATCACTTGAGGTCAGGAGTTTGAGAACAGCCTGGCCGACATGGTGAAACCCCATCTCTATTAAAAATACAAAAATTAGCCAGATGTGGTGGCGTGTGCCTGTAATTCCAGCTACTTGGTAGGCTGAGCCAGGAGAATCTCTTGAGCCAGAGAGGTGGAGGTTGCAGTGAGCCAAGATTGTGCCACTGCACTCCAGCCTGGGTGACAGAGAAATACCCTGTCTCAAAAAAAAAAAAAATGGTATAGCCAGTATTTATTTCCACACTGGTCATTCTGATCACAAAACTCCCTCTTGGAATCACTCTGCTAGGTTTCCTTGGAAACATTTTTTTTTCTTTTTGAGACAGAGTCTTGCTCTGTCACCAGGCTGGACTGCAGTGGCTCGATCTTGGCTCACTGCAACCTCTGCCTCCCGGGTTCCAGCAATTCTCCTGCCTTAGCCTCCTGAGTGTCTGGGACTACAGGCGTGCGCCACCACACCCAGCTAATTTTTATATTTTTAGAAGAGACGGGGCTTCACCATGTTGGCCAGGATGGTCTCGATCTCTTGACCTTGTGATCCACCTGCCTTGGCCTCCCAAAGTGCTGGGATTACAGGCGTGAGCCACTGCGCTCAGCCTGGTAACATTTTAATAGAGAACCAGCTGTTAGGTTGAAGAAACTACTTCCCAGCTGCTTTCTGGCAGTGTGTTAGGGACATTTCCAATGAGATGATCCAAATAACACACTTTAAACAAGGCTTGACATAGAACCAGTATACAACACATTTCCCTAGAAGTACATCCCACAGCATAGAGATCAGCAGTACAAGCTCTAGATCAGAAGGCCTGGGGTTGGATCCTGGCTCTGCTACTTGTTAACTATGTGACTTTGGGCAAGTTACTTAAACTCTCTGTAACTCAGTCTTCTCACCTGTGAAGTGGGGATGGGGATAATAGTACTCCTAGGCTTATAATGGATAATGCAATTGTTATCTGTAAAATACTTAAGGCAATGCCTGGCTCATAAGAACCATTTAATCAACATGTGCTATCATTCCTGGTTCAATGCTTTTGTGCAAACTGAAGTATAAACTGTAAAAGCAAATCACATGGGCTAGGTCCCCCCTGGGGTTATTCTGGTGCTTCTCTCCACTAATAAGGCTACTTGACAGGCAAAACAGATGCTAAGAATGTGAGTTGGAATCATACTCCCTAGGTTCAATCCTGGCTAAAAAACTCCTTCTTAGTTATGTGAGCTAAAAAGCTCCTTCTTAGTTATGTGAGCTAGAACAAGGTGCCTCACCTCTTTCATCTGTTAAGTGGGGACAGCAGTGGTATCTACTTCATAGGATGGTGTGATGGTTAACATTGAGTGTCAACTTGATTGGACTGAAGGATGCAAAGTATTGATCCTGAGTGTGTCTGTGAGGGTGCTGCCAAAGGAGATTAACATTTGAGTCCAGGGGCTGGGAAAGGCAGACCCACCCCTAATCTGGGTGGGCACCACCTAATCAGCTGCCAGCATAGCCAGAATATAAAGCAGGCAGAAAGATGTGAAAAGGCTAGACTGGCTTAGCCTCCCAGCCTACATCTTTCTCCCATGCTGGATGCTTCTTGCCCTTGACCATCAGACTCCAAGTTCTTCAGTTTTGAGACTCGAAATGGCCTTCCTTGCTCCTCAGCTTGCAGATGGCCTATTGTGGGACCTTGTGATCATGTGTGAGTTTATACTTAATAAACTCATATATATATATATATACACACACACACACACACACACACACACATATATATATATCCATTCTATTAGTTCTGTCCCTCTAGAGAACCCTGACTAATACAGGTGGTTTTGAGGATGCCCTGAGTTCAACTGCAGGAATGAAACTTAAGAACAGTGCCCAGTGGCTGGGCGTGGTGGCTGACGCCTGTAGTCCCAATACTTTGGGAAGCCAAAGCGAGTGGGTCACCTGAAGTTGGGAGTTTGAGACCAACCTGACCAACATGGAGAAACCCCATCTCTACTAAAAATACAAAATTAGCCAGGTGTGGGGGTGCATGCCTGTAATCCCAGCTACTTGGGAGGCTGAGGCAGGAGAATTGCTTGAACTCGGGAGGCAGAGGTTGCGGTGAGCCAAGATCGTGCCATTGCACTATAGCCTGGGCAACAAGAGCAAAAAAAAAAAAAAAAAAAAAAAAAAAAAAAACAAAACAAAACAAAAAAAACAGTGCCCAGCATGCACTGCAAGTCCAATATGTGTTTGACAGTATGCAGAGGGAATCAGCACTACACATGGCTTGAGAGTCACAAATCTGTTTCTCCAAAGCACATCACCTGCCAGGTCTGTGTAAAACTGCATAGATCAGGAAGAAGCATATGAGAGCACAATTGTGGCCTGAACTCATCAGGTTCTTGGACTTATTTGTTTACAACAACCCACCCCATATTTTATTTTTCTTAGGTAGTCTTTCTCTCCAAATTCCAAAGGCCTTGGCAGTATTGTTTTTTGAACTGATGTGTGAAATGCACTTACACCTCAGATGGGTTTCTTCTTGGTTAGCAACTAATGCATTTTTTATAAAGCTCTATCTCCAGTTTCCTTTCAAACTACAGAGAGGATATCCTTTTCCTGTTAAGTTGTAGAATGATTTTTTTTTCCTTCAAAGTAAAGCATTAACCTCCAGAGTTCTGTGAATAGGTTTCATGTACATATTATGGTAGTTAACAAGGAGCTGGAAGCTGAAGTTTTCATTGGAGTTTATGTGATACATGAGAAACCTGTTATCATATTTCAAGATATTTCAGGTTTTCATAACAGTATCCAAGCAGAAAGCATTACATATATACTGATACATATACCACTGAGTTTTTTCCTTTACCTTTTTTTTAGTAAATGATATGTGTTCATTTTAGAAAACTTAAAACATGTATTTTTTAAAAGTCACATGTAGTTCTACCAGCCAGAGATAACCACTGTTAACAACTTCCTTCTTTTTTCTGTACATGTTTGTAAATACACCTCTTAAAATGTGGTCATGCGGCTGGGCATGGCGGCTCATGCCTGAAATCCCAACAGCACTTTGGGAGGCCAAGTCAGGCAGATCACAAGGTCAGGAGTTCGAGACCAGCCTGGCCAATGTGGTGAAAACCTGTTTATACTAAAAATACACACACACACAAAAACCAAACACACACACAACACTCATATACATAGACTATTGAGAGTATAAAGCAACCACACAATGAAGTCTGCATAATAACCACCTAACAACAAAATGGCAGCATCAAATCCACACATATCAACATTAAACTTATATAAACAGGCTAAATGCCCCCCAGTTAAAAGGCAGAGTAGCAACTTGGGTAAAGAAGCAAGATCCAACTATAACTTCAAGAGACCCATCTCAAATGCAATAACATCCATAGGCTTGAAATAAAGGGATGGAGAAAAATCTACCAAGCAAAAGGAAAACTAATAAAGCAGGGGTTGCTATTCAAATTTCAGTCAGAACAGACTTCAAACCAACAAAGAACAAAAAAGTCAAGGAAATTACATAATGAAAAAAAACCTATCCTTAATATATATGCACCCAATACAGGAGAACCCAGATTTATAAAGCAAGATCTTACAGCCTTATGAAGAGACTTAGATAATCACACAAAAATAGTGGGGGACTTCAATACCCCATTGACAATATTAGATCATCCAGAAAGAAAGCTAACAAAGATATTTGGGACCTTAACACCTACCTAATGGTCCTAATAGACTTCTAGAGAGCTCCCCACCCCAAAATAACAGAATATACCTTCTTCTCATCTGCACATGGCACATAATCTAAAATTGAACAGACATTCAGTCATAAAACAATCCTTAGCAAATTTTTAGAAACCAAAAGCATACCAAACACATTTTGAAAACATAGTGCAATAAAAATAGAGATGAATACTAAGAAAATCTCTAAAAACAATACCATTACATGGAAATTAAACAACCTGCTCCTGAATGACTTTAGGGTAAAGAATAAGATTAAGGAATAAATCTAGAAAATCTTTGAAAATAATGGGAAATAATTTGAAAGAATAAATAAGATTAATAGACTGCTAGTTAGACCAATGAAAAAATCCAAAAGATTCAAAAGAGAAGATCTAAATAAACACAATAAGAAATGACAAAGGGGACATTACTACCTACCCCACAGTAATACAAAACTTCTGAGATTTAAACACACACACACACACACACACACACACACACACTCTATGCAAACACAAACTAGAAAATATAGAAGAATTGAATAAATTTCCTGCAAACTGACAACCTCCCAAGATTGAACTAGGAAGAAATTGAATTCCTTAACAGACTTACAATGAGTTGTGATATTGAATCAGTAATAAAAAGCCTACCAACTAGAAAAAGCCCAAGACCAGATGAATTCATAATCAAATTTTACCAGTTGTATAAAGAAGACCTAGTAAGATTCCTACTAAAACTATTTCAAAAAATTGACTAAGAGTGTTGGGTCCCTAGTTCTGTGGAAAATTCAAGCAGGATAGTCAAGCAGACCTGTGGAGGGGGTCCATAATACCTGATTTAAAACTCATGAGAGATCTCAAGCCATAACTCTACAGCCAAGTTGCTCTCAAATTTCTGACCCATAGAAACCATGACAGACAATAAAATTATTTAACCAAGCTATTAAATTTTAGGGAAATCTGTTATAAACTCTTATAGCTCCACCCTCACTACTTAATCACCTACCAAATACCCCACCTCCAAATGCCATCACACTGGGCGTTAGGTTTCAACATATGAATTTTGGGGGAAGGGCATAAACATTCATCCTATAGCACAATAAACTCATGTCAATATAAAAGCATTAAGAGAAAGGAGATTTTATGTATTTTGTGATTCACATATTGACTTAACAACATATGTCAAGCAAAAGTGTACAGAAATACTACAAGTTAAGATGAACATTTTATAACACTTTATAAAATAAGTATGTTGTTTAATAAGACTGTCATATTTCTCTTTAAACTGCCTTCACATATTTTTCACTTATCCCATTTTTCTTAAAAATTATATTAATTATTTAGTGTGATTGTTCTAATGGGTGTTCAGAACCAATTCATTATATTTATTATATTTCAATTTATAGAAACAAAAATCTTAGGATGATGAGTTTAGGATAAACCCTCAGCAAATAAGCTTCTACTTCCAAGTGTAAACTAAGGAGTGGTGTCCCCTCGCCCTTTTTCCAGTCTTCTTCTGGTTTCAGTTGCTTCTCACCATTGCTGTGTGTCATCATGAGTACTGGCATTATCATCATCTTCCCTAACAGATATTGTTCCGATTTTTCTGTATGAACAAACTTGCATAAAGCACAAATGATTTTATTTGTTAAAAGTACAAGTAATCTCTTTAACCTTTGATTGACTCTTTTTCTAATTAATATTATTGACAGTATGCTTCTTAAAATGAAATAATTTTCCTAATTTATCTTTCACTTTTTGATGAAGTGGAGTAATTCAAGTAAAAATTGGAACTATTTATCCACAAGGATAATGAGATGCCCAGAAATGTGTCTTTAAAGTATTTACCATAGAGCAACATGAATGTCAAAATGCCGTCTGTTAGTGAGTCATTGTTTTTTTAAAAGATTAGTGATGGCTTTGTAGTCTTTCCGGGAATACTCTGAAATACCGGTTACGGATAGCTCTTTGTAATTTGAAAAACATAAAACAGTAATAAATTAACAGCTAGAATTCTAAAATATATTACATAGAGAAAGAAGGAGAATTAAATGAAGCGATGTCTCACATATTCAGCATTTTGGGGAAACTCATACAAGTGAATTTTCCAGGATGAATACGTATATTTTTTGAAGTAATCAGATTTAAAGAATTGTAACTGTTGGTTTATTTTTCTTTGCTTCTTAAACATTATACACTAAAATCATGTCAGAAGTATACCATATTCTAATATAAAATAGTTCCATCTTTAGTGAAGGTCAATCTCCTGACAGTGTGACTATTTAATAAAGGTAGAGATATGTGATCGCTGCTTCCAATTTGCCTTGAATGAGAAATTTCCCGTATCATTGGAATTCAGCATAAACGGAGAGTCACCATGCTCTGAATGATGGTCTGAAGGCAGGGATGCTGGAGCATAAGGTAGAATTTTGCTATAATATTGGATGTATTAAAATATATATCTTTTGATTTATATTTATTACATAAACAATTCTAGCAACCTCATTTCTTATCTTCCCTTCTGTTAACTCAGAGACGTCCCCTGTTTATTTTTTTTTCTTGGTAGTTTTCTGAGCTGTTCAATCTTTCAGACAACCAGCTTGTGTCTGAACATATGTATGTGTGTGTGACGCATGCACATGTCACAGAGTGAGCTGTTGTGTGTGCATATGTGTGCGTGTAGATGGTTGAGAGGCACCAATGACAGGCTGTCTGGGTGCAAGCAGGCCAAGCCCCACTCCTCAAGATGGAGGAGGAGCTGCTGCTCCCGGTGGGGACTCCCCAGTAGGCCACTGGGGGAAGCCCCACGACCCAGACAGCAGGTGGAGAGCAGCAGCTGGCCGGAGATCGACTTCAGCGAGAAACTGTGCGGAGCTCCAGCAGCTGGACTTCCTGGAGCAGAAGAGCCGCTGAACCCCGCCCCTGCTGATCTCACTGCACACAGCCTAGGGCCCCACCCGCCGAGGACTCCAGAACCTTCTCCTACCAGCTCGCCCAGAGACCAAGCCAAGAGAGTGGTCTCTGAGGAGCCCGCTAGAAAGGCAAGGCGAGGCCCGCAGAGAAGGATGCCAAGCCTGTAGAAGCAGAGACGTCGGGGATGGGGGACCTGCCCTGGGCGCCGCCAGAGGCCCAAGCGCCCAGCACCGCAGGAGCTGGAGACGTCGCTGAGCACCAGGTGGCGCCGGCGCGGTTCCTACAGGGAGCCTGGAGGCAGGCTGCGGGGTGGCTGTGCCGGGAGACTGGAGCGGCTCCTGGCTCCGCGCAGGCAGGGCCCCCAGAGACAGCTCATGCAGCAGATCCGCAGCCCCGGGGCCCTCAGGCACCGCCGCGGCTGCCGCCCTCGCTCAGTCCCGAGCGCGTCCACCCTGGCCAGCCAGCTGCCCCCGCTGAACCTGCGCCGGGCGCTCCGGCTCTCCGTTCGGGCCCCAGCCAACCCCGCGGGCTCAGGCTCCCAGTTCCTGTCCCAGCCTGCGCCGGCTCCAGCGCCCCCGGCTCTCCAGCTGCTCTTCCCGACTCCTATCCTTGGCCGCCCCCAGCGCGGAACCGACCCGCGACCCTACCGCCAACATCGCGGGTCTCGCCTCTCGCAGCCTTTTTGGCGTCCGCGCCTCAGCGTTGAAGCCAGGGCCCCTCGTGAGCTCGGCGCCCAGCCTGTCAAGTCCTCTTCTGCCTCAGCTCTCACAGCAGTGTCTTCCCCGCCTGCTGGTCGGCATCGCGCCACAGCCAATGTCTCCTGTTGCTGTCCGCCCCCGCGAAGCGCTGCAAGGGCCAGCGCCCAACCTGTCGCTGCGGAAGACCGGGGCATAGAACCTGTCCTGGTGCTGGGCAAGCGCTTCCGCCCCAAGTCCCCGACCTGGGCAACCTGGAGGAGCCCAGGGAATAGCGCTCAGGACCCAGAGGCTGGACAGCCAGCCCGCCCGCCCGTCCCTGGCCACGAGGCGCCCCGGACCTGACCACCGCCCCCGCCACCTCCGCCGGTGGGCAAGGAGGGTCCCCTTTCAGCCTGCAGTTCCTCAGCAGAGAGGAGGGCCCTCCGCAGGCCCGCGCCCGGTCCCACACTGGGGAGAAGCCGTTCAGCGGCGCCATCTGCGGTAGGGCCTTCACCACTAAGGGCAACCTCCAGGTACACTTGGCACTCACATGTGGAATAACCACCCTCACAACCTCCCCCAAGGCGAGCTGCCGCGGTGGAACAGTCCATGGCTCTGCTAGGGGATGATGGCCTGAAGTTCTCTGAAATATTCCGGAAGGATCTGACAGCCCAAATAATGAATGGCGACCCCAATATTTGGAACCAGGAAGCTGCAGCTCACCCCCAGGAGCTTCCCATAAAGAACAATGAGATTTCCATCATTCAGAACAGAGGCTTTTCCCAGATCCCAGGAAGTTTTGGCTGCTGCACCATCCCTCTGGGTACCCTGGGGTGCAAAGAGCGCAAAATAGCCCTCCCATTGTCAGTCTGGACAACGCACCTCAGCAGCCTGCATAGCAGGCAGCGTCCATTCGCCAGGTTACCCAGGAGAACAAGGAGATGGTCTAAACTAGCTCAACACACGGGACTCGCGTCCTTCAACAGTGAGTCTGACTGTTCTTGAGAACTCTGCAACCTTTTAAGTGAAAAAAAAAGGTGATTGCAAAACGGCCTCAGGAACAGAAAGAGCCCAGGCAATCCTCACTTCTTTTCTACTAAAACCCAGTAATCCCTAGAGGGAGAAAGGGCGTCTCCTGCAGTATTCCACTGAAACTCGCTGGTTTTGCTCGAATTAGACACTTGAACTATGTTTTTAGAACTCTTCATCTTAAAAGAAGTGGTTTAGTAGTCCAAATGCTGTGTATTATGACAGTGTCTTCCTCTGACGTATTTATAATGTTAAGATTATGTGGGCAACAGACAATATAATAACCCTAACCTTAAATGAAGTTTATCTACTTCTGAATAAATCTGGCTAGGTAAATTTTTTTAAGCAAGATTTGTTTTACTATAAATAAGTGGATTATTTCAATGCAATGTGAAGTTCTATTGGGAAAGAGAGAATGCTTTGTGTGTACAAGTACCTGTCGGTAAGAAGCTTTTTTTTAAAATTTAAATGTTTGTAGCCACTATGTGGACAGTTATTTTCTAGTGTGGTCTGTAGCCCAATGACTGGGGAACAAGTTACAGACAAAATATCATAAATTATTGACAATATTATAAGCAGTTGTGAGTAAATATTTTACATTATTAAAGCTGTGCAATAATAAGATAGTGTTTCCGGGCGGGCACGGTGGCTCACATGTATAATCTCAGCACTTTGGGAGGCTGAGGCAGGCGGGTCACCTGAAGTCAGGAGTTGGAGACCAGCCTGGTCAACATGGCGAAACCCCGTCTCTACTAAAAATACAAAAAAAGCCGGGCGTGGTGGCAGGTGCCTGTAATCCCAGCTACTCTGGAAGCTGAGGCATGAGAATCTCTTGAACCTGGGAGGCAGAGGTTGCAGATCAGGCCACTGCATTCCAGCTTGGGGGATAAAGTGAGACTCTCCAAAAAAAAAAAAAAAAAAAAGAAAAAAAAAAGATGGTGTTTCTATAATGTGATTGCAAACTTTTAATGTATGCGATTGGACTTTCTGTATTTTGTATTAGAAAGGTTTGTTTATAATTTGAACATTTAAAATTATGTAAAGTATTTCATGAATCATACTCTAAGGAAAATGAAAAAACCAATGTTTTGTTTGTCTTAAGATCAAACAATGTTAGAAATCTATGCTACTTTAACAGAAGAGCCACCAAAACTTGTTAGCTCCTCAATACAATAGGAGCTGCTGTTTCTTAAAATGATTTAACTTTTCTACAAAGCCCATTTAAAAACTGTGATCATCCCTAATGAAACTTTGATGAATTAATCTTAGGACTGTGACATCAGTAGAGCCAGGAAGGAACTAGGAAAACACTGTTAAATTTTACTGTAAGCGGGTCTGTCTCTCTCTCACATTCCCACAGACAAGATTGTGACTGTCTGGTAGCACTGGTCATTTGGACAGTTAATCTGAGAAAAATAGCCAGTATCTGGCATCATAATCACTCATGGCTTTGACTTTTTCTGGTTTCCTGATTTATTTATTATCTTTTCAGATGAAAGCAAAACACAATGTCCTCTGATTATTCGGAACACAGTCTGATGCTGATGGCCTGTCCATTGTATCCAGTGAGAAAAGAGGCCAGGACACTGAGGCAGGCTGAATCAAAACTTGAACAGAAGTGTTGTGTGTATCACCTCATTTTCACGCATTTCAAGTGTGCTGGCACCTGACATTATAAACTTCCAACAACAGAATTGTTCAAGAGATGTTCAAGAGATGTTCTGAGTAGCTGAGTGACAGTGCAAGGAGGTGCATGGTTCCTGAAGAAAGAATCAGACAGTGAAGTCTTCTCAGTTGAGACAAATAGAAAATCTCTTTCTCACATAACTACAGCGATAACAGAAAATATTGTAAGAGGATGAGCTATTTTTGCCAGTGCATCATTGAACAAAAAAGTTTCAAAGACTCATTAGCTGTTTACTTCTGTTGGAAATTAACGTTGAGCTCTAAAAGTTTTCCATAGTGTTGAGATGTAACTCCCCCATGTCATACCACATGTTGTTCCCCATCATAAGATGTTGTTCCCTCATCATAAGATGAGGGATTGAGGGTGTTGCAAGCATTGGGAAAAGAAAACTGAGGTGGCTTAATGTTGCTGTGTTTTAGCAGTTGAATGCTTTATTATTTATCTGGTTTTTTTTTGTATGATTTTTTTGGTTAGTATTTGGTACCATGTAGTGCTGTGTCTTCTCCCAAAAAGATGTGTATTTAGCTTAGGAAAGAAATGCAAAGTGTGGTTGATAAAATGGCTCATGAAAGTGCAGTGAGACTGACCCCATCCTGTATTCAGGGATAGGCCATCCCTCTCTGCCAGTGAAGAGAGACACTATCTTTATACCGTAATACCACGTAGAGCTAGGGCTTCCCTGATCCAGCTGGGGATTGTTACCTACACCCAATATTGTTTATTGTTAAATCTTGTGGCTTGAAATGTCTACTGATTGAAATGGATGTCTTGGTCTAGGTTACTATTTTTGACATATGTAACTGAAAAAAAAAGCAGGATGTATATTTTAATTTTTTAAAATTTACCATTTTATTTCACGTTATTGTACCAAGCTCATGAAATGTTTTACTATTTGTCAGAAAAGTGACATTATGGCACATGCATTCTAAGATTTAATACATTGTTTTTAGGGAGGTTGAAATACAGTATCCTGAATCTTAAATATTATAGAACTCTTAAACAATTTGGCTTAGCTGGAGAAGGCTGGGGTATATTTAAGAATGTTATGTGTTCTGCATTACTCCTTAAGAAACAGATTTTCAGGCTGGCTGTGGTGGCTCACACCCATAATCCCAACACTTTGGGAGGCCGAGGCAGGAGGATTGCTTGAGGCCAGGAGTTCGAGACCAGCTTAGGCAACAGAGCAAGACCTGATCTCTATAAAAAAATAAAATAAAAAAAGAAACACGCTTTTGAGATAATAGTGATAACACCTGACTCTGTTACATATCACACTAAGACTAATTGAAGATAAGGAAAATTGGTTCTTGAGATAACAGAGACAAAGTAGACAGAACACATTGATTTCTGATGTAACACATAGTCAGTGTTTGAGGAAACTGTTTATAGAAAGTGAAGCCAAAGTACTTTATTTTACCAAGGTAACTTTTAATAACCCAACTGTTGGATGAATAAAGCTTTTTGAAAAATTCGAAGCAAATGTTACTCATCATTTGGAGTCTGGATGTCCCAGTTCACAGGGTTACTTCTGAAATGTAGAACACATGCAGCCTTCTGATCAAAGGAGAGTGAGGGGACTGCTCCTGCCAGGGCCCAGTTCAGCCGCAGGACCCCATGGCGGCCCATGGTCTTGGTCCATGCTGTGGGAGCAGTACAGGATTTATTCACTCAATAAACATTCACTAGGGGCTTACCATGCCGTGGATCCTAGGAGTCTGCAGAACACATCCAGCTGAAACCCTCTTCTGCGGTAGACCTTCAGTTATTCAAATACTACTCTCATTTTTTCACTGAAATGTTGTCAGTCATTCTCAGGATAAACATCACTTGTTTCTTTAACCAGTCCTCACTTATTGTGGTTTTCAGTTCCTTCATAATCCAGCAGTCATGGAAGGAAATGGGAGAAGGTGGGAGAGGGCTTTCCAGTTACTGAATGGAAGTTGGGCTTCCAGTACCAAGGACTTTGGGAAGCAGGCCATACCCTTTCAAGGAGTGCGTTATGAATGCAGTAATTCACACAAGTATTAGACATTACAACATATATGGACTGTAAGTTTTTGTGGCTAGAGGATTCACTGGTATATTCACGGGGAAGTGAATGCTTTTGTGAGTGAGTTTCTTATCCTGCAGAAACGCTTTGGGACCACATCAGGCTGCATCACATTGACTGTCTCATGTTGTTTCTCAAAATAGTCATAGATTCCATGTGGTTAAATCACCCATTTTAAAAGCAAAGCCAAATTTATTTCCTACGACCATATTTGACCATATGGTCATAATTCCTATGACCAATATGACTATATTATTTCCACATTTCCTGTGACCACAGGAACACCTCAGGGCATCACTAGACAAGTAAATTATGGTTTTGACAAGTATCCACTGATACAGAATCATTGAATGGTAGAGCTGGTCAGGGCTTTAAAAAGTCATCTATTCCAATGCTGGTTATTTGCAAAGAAAGGGCTGAGAATCACAGTGATTATATAACCTGCCCACAGTCACAACAGTAGTTAAGTAACCACACTGGGACTCGTAACTCCATATCTTGAATTCTAGACCAGAGCTCTCTATCCTAAAGCAATGTTAGAGGTACTCTTTTTAATTATACTAATAAAAAGTAATTTTTTATGCAGACTGGCTCTCACTGTGTTGGCCAGCCTGGACTCGAATTCCTGGCCCTAAGTGATTCACTCACTTTGGCCTTCCAAATTGCTAGGATTACAGGAAAGAACCACCCCACACCTGACCTTTGGAGGGACTCTGGCTTTGTGTGTTTGGGCTAGCCTTCCTGTGTAGTCAGTAAGATGTTCCTGCAGTGTACTTTGGGATCTTTCTGCACAAATTCAGTAGACAGTGTGATTTTTTTTCATATAATAAATGTATTGCAAATAAATTTGCAATAAATAAACTAGACAATTAATTCACAGTTAGTAACCTACGGCCTAGAAAATTTCATTTCTTTATCCACACATGTTTGTAAGGAGATGATTGAAGAAGTAGTCTAAATATGCAGATTCCTAATCATCCCCAGGAAGAATGGAACCACTGAAAGGCAACCTGGGAGGGTGTGTGGGGTTGTTCTGAGGTTGTGAAAGCCACTGAAATTCACACATAAGGGGATAGTAAAAGGGAATCCACATCTTTTGAGTACCTTCATGTGCTGGGTATAACTTGGTCTTCGTTAAGATGATGCACCACCTTTGGAGTCAGACAGAACTGGATTGAATCCCAGTTCCATCGCTTATTACTACATGATCGTGAATGTGTTTTTAGCTCATCTGAGTCTCAGTTTTCTCACCTTTAAAAATGGGCTTGTTATGAGGCTTACGTATGGTACATATGTAAAAATCTAGACACAATGCCTGTAATTTTGTAAGCATTCAATATATGGAAGGAGCAGTATTATATTTCCCTCATTTAATCTTTAGAGCAAGTTTATAAAATTTGTGTTATTATTCATATTTTTTAGATAAACCGAGGATGAGAAAGATTACATAAATCACTCCAGCCTGGGCGAGAGTGAGGCCCTATCATATATATATATCCTATATATAGCTATATATAGATAGTTTTAAGATAACAGATAAAATAAAAATGTCTCCAAAATTTAGAAATTTGTTTCGAATTAATCAGTGCCCCTGGCAGATCATTTAAGTTAAAATTTTTCTTCTGATACTTGCTTTAGTTGTCTACAAATTCATGCCCTTATACTTGATCCTTCTACATAAGCAGAAGTCTAATTCTAGGCATTGTTCTTTGTCTGGAGCTATGCACCTAGTACATAATTAATTAAAAGTGCTTACCTGTCCGACTGCAGTGGGTCACGCCTGTAATCCCAGCACTTTGAGAGGCCAAGGCGGGTGGAGCACCTGAGGTCGGGAGTTCCAGACCAGCCTGACCAACACGGAGAAACTCCGTCTGTACTAAAAGTACAAAATGAGCTGGGCGTGGTGGCGCATGCCTGTAGTCCCAGCTACTCAGGAGGCTGAGGCAGGAGAATCGCTTGAACCCAGGAGGTGGAGGTTATGGTGAGCTGAGATCGCGCTATTGCACTCCAGCCTGGGCAACAAGAGCGACACTCCGTCCCCCCACCCCCCACCAAAAAAAAGCAATTATGATCACATTTAAAATCTTATTATGTGGTGGTTTTCTCTCCTCTCCTCTCCTCCCTTTCCCTCCTCTCCCCTCCCCTCCCCTCTCTTCTCTTCTTTTCTTTTCTTCTTTTTTTGAGACGTAGTCTTGCTCTGTCGCCCAGGCTGGAGTGCAATGGTGCGATCTCGGCTCACTGCAACCTCCGCCTCCCAGGTTCGGGCGATTCTCCTGCCTCAGCTCCAGAGTAGCTGGAACTACATGCGCGTGCCACCACACCCGGCTATTTTTTTGTATTTTTAGTAGGGACGGGGTTTCACCATGTTAGCCAGGATAGTCTCGATCTTCTGGCCTCATGACCCGCCCGCCTTGGCCTCCCAAAGTGTTAGGATTACAGATGTGAACCACCGCGCCCGGCCCAGTTTTCTTTTACATAAGCCTCTTCTTTTGTTGAAAACATAAGATCTTCCTCACAGTGGAGAAACCTGAAAGCTCCCAGCAGCCAGTAATGAATGAAAGGTGGGGGCGGGGCTGCCGGCATGGCAGGGCCTAGTGAGCCTTGTGCCTAGGCTCCTACATCACAATGGGGGCGGGGGCACGTGGAGGGGTCTCTGGGCCTGATTGGTTCCTGGGAACCGGGAGGGAGCTCTGGCGGTTGGCAGGGCAACCTCCTTCAGTTGGTGGGAAGCGGTGGGAGGAGGAGGAGCTCCATCTGTGCTCTCTTCTCCGCAGTCACAACTCTCAGGCTTGTTGCATCTAGACCCATTCTAAATAAACCAAGCAGATTCCCAAGGGACCCTTGCAGACAAGTCAGCTCAGGGGAGGCGGCTGAGGCGGGGTGCGGGCTGCTAGTGGGGTGCAGCCCCATAGCCGGGGCTGGCCCTGCCAGCGTGCCTTTCCTGGGAAGAGGTGGAAGTGCTGAGCTCTGCAGACTTGGAAGCAAGGGAAGGCCCAAGCTGCTGGAGAGGAGCCGGGCTACCCCATGGGGATAGCCCACGCTGAGCTATTGCTTGGGCACCAACGCCAGCCTCAAGCGGGGCCAGCGCAGGAGGTCTGGGGAGCTGTCCTGCAGCGCTGACATCTATGAGGCAGCGTCAAGCAAAGGTGTAGGCCAAGGCAGAGAGGAGCGGAGGCGCCGCAGATGGAACATGCTGCTCCCTGATGCCAGCCCCAAGCAAAGCCAGCGCAGGGTGCTGTGGGCGGAACCGCCCTGCAGCTATAACCTCACGGAGGCAGAGGTGGCAGTAAAAAAAAAAAAAAATCCCCACACCCCACTGCTGTGGAGCCTGCCCAGTCGGATTTCGGAGCCCGCGAGGGCCATGACCTGCAACACATCAGTGACCAGGAGATGCCCAAAAGTAAGGAGGCGACTGATAGTGTTTGCCCTCAGGTGAGCCTCTGGCAGCCGCTGTCCCAAGGTCCCCCCAGAGGCATCCACAGCCTCGGACTCCTCCCTCCTGCCCCTAGCCAGGTTTCCTAGGCCCAGGCACCAGGCAGGAGGACTGGCCTTGCCTCGTGCCTACGTCCCCCACCTCCCCCCTGCAACCAATTTTTTTTCCCTGTAGCATCTGGTGGTTTCTCTCCTCCTCCCTACCCCAGTGCCCAGTTCTGGCCCCTTTCTCATCCCCCAAGGCTAGGCAGAAACTAAGTTTTCAAAATAGAAAATGTATGCTACAGATTTCATTGCTATAGAGGAAGTGTCTTACAGCTCTTCTGTTTAAACATTGGTTGACCTCTTAATTTATTTAAACGTTTGAATAATTAAGCTTCATGATGAATGTGGCTTTGTTGCTGGAAAGTACTGTACTCTCGGAATATTAAAAAATCGTGAAAGAATGAACAAAGATAGTATGTGAATGAATTGTACCTTTATACACAAAGCATGCAAGTACTTGTGAAAGTTTTTCCTCGTTTGGTGGTGTAAGGTAGGCCTCGGAGTGGTTTTACACACTAGGTAGTAGATGGGTAGTGTTGGATGAGAGCCCAAAATAGACTCTTTATATCATTCTTTAGGATTTACAACACATTTTCATGTACGTCTCATGTATCACCCTGTCTCTACAAAAAAAAAGGGTTAAAAATTAGCCAGGTATGGTGGCTTGCACCCATAGTCTCAGCTGCAAGAGGATATTTTGAGCCCAGGAGTTTGAAGCTTCAGTGAGCTATGCTGGCTCCATCGCACCATTGCATCACTCCAGCCTGGGCAACAGAGTGAGACCCTGTCTCTTTAAAAAATTGTTTTTTTGCCCAAAACAGCTCTTTATTTTAACATATTTGCTATATTGAGCCGGTGTCTGACAGTAATTGACCACAGCATCACTTGCTGCTTGAGACTTTCCCTGAAATGCGCTGGTAATAGCAGCATAGAGGAGGGTGGGTATATTTGATAAGTAGAAGGAGGAGGGCGTGTGTATGATTCATCTAAAAGTGGCATCAGTTTATTTAGGTGCAAGTTCTAAAATGAAGTCCCAGACACAGCCTGGTTTTATTCCACATACGTGGAGAACTTCTGTGATTTTTGCATTCTCCAGTAGAATTGGGACATTGTGGCCTTTATTTTCTTTACATTTATCACTAAAAACTTTTCTCAAGACTCTTAAAAGTGATTAAAATGGATGTGTAGCTTTAAAAAGAATCTTTTCTACTCACTTAAATTATCACATTTTTCCTTCTTCCTCTACAGATTTTGCTTCTGACTGTCCAGGGGAAAGCACACTCTTCCTGAGAAAATATCAAATGAGTGGTAAGACAATATTGTTTCTTCCTCCAAGCAAAAAACTACAAACTTTCTGTTTCATGTATTACAGAAAGTATTTAGAGGAACTCAGATATTAGTTAAAAAAATTTCAACTTTTTATATATTTACTTGTCTTATTTTAATATGTGACATAATTTCCTTTAGTTGACACTGTTCATGGAAACATGCAGGCTTTATGTCTCCACGTTTGATGACATTTTTATCAATGCAATTAATTGGCCACATGATTTGGTGTAGTAGTCATGGATGTATGCCTTTTTCTTCATACATCTTTCCCATTTTTCCCTTGCTCCAAAGAGTACATGTTAATGATGAGTGATAAGATTTAGGCTACAGCTTGGAGTTCACTTGAACAAATCAAAAGAATCTGTTGTTCTAGATTGGATCCGTGATTTTGGCCTCCTTTTTACACAGTGCTCTAACCGCATGAGCCTGTCACATCCATGTTCATGCTACTCAGAACTTTTTCATTCGAATGTAATGGAAATGTAAACATGGCCTGTGCTGTTTTCCAGGTTAGCCTTAGTGTGTGAAACTAGTGTAAAGTTTCCACATCCTGCTTGTTTTAGGATGAGAATTAGAACTGTAGGAGTTTTCTGTACTCCTGCTTATTTTTTTGTAACATTCTGCTAAATCTTACTGTTTTTTCAAAAAAGCCATACACCATGTTTTTCAGTTGTTTTCAACAGCAAGAATACAAGAAGTGGGGTTTCTATAATAACATCTGAAGTAATGCAGCACAATAAAAAATGGGTTTCTCCCCTGCATTTTCATAGTTTGTATGGACTTTGCCTGTCTCAAGCTGGTAACTTCTGGTTAGGATTGTTGTATTTCTCAGTTTCTTCCAGAGCCATGGGCTTCTCACACATAGAGTGTATGGAAGTGGAAGAAAACCTACCCCATGCCCCTGTCTCTTCAGCAGTGAGAAATGTGTGTCAGTGAGACCAGCTCAACTTCAAAGAAGGAGGCATTGTAGGGAACAAAGTGTGGCCCAAGTCCCCCTTGTAGCTTTTATTCTTTGGACCTGTATTAGAATGAAATGATTTTGTGTCCTGAGGATACCAAGTTCATTTAGGTTGGCACACTCATGTTAACATTTGAGTTAAGCTAGGCTACTTTTCAGTTGTGTAAAGACCTGTTTATTTTTTCAGTAACATATTAGTAGACGACCGATCAGTCATTGGATGCTTGCAGGGATTCTAGTGCATCTAAAGACTGGCTCCTGGCCAGAAACTGGTTCTTAGAGCTGTCAGCTATTAGATCTTGGTAATGAAAGTAAGCTATGTGTAAATGTAGAATCAGAAAACACTACTGCTTAGGGGTTCAGATATACAATAGGTAAATTTTTTATTAGCTAAATTTCTCATCTGTCCTGTATTTTGGCATTTCTATGAAGGAATACCTGAGACTGGATAATTTATAAAAAAAGAGGCTTTATTGGCTCACGGTTCTACAGGCTGTACAGGAAGTGTGGTGCTAGCATCTGCTTCTGGCAAGGGCTTCAAGAAACTAATAATCATGGTGGAAGGTGAAGTCATCTCTCACATGGTGAGAGGAGGAGCAAGAGAGAGTGGGAGGTGCCGCCTTCTTTTAAACAAGCAGATCAGGCCAGGTGTGGTGGCTCATGCCTGTAACCCCAGCACTTTGGGAGGCTGAGGCAGGCAGATCACTTGAGGCTGGAGTCTGAGACCAGCCTTGGCCAACATAGTGAGACCCTGTCTCTACAAAAAATTTAAAAATTAGCCAGGTGTGGTGGTTCGTGCTTGCAGCCCCAGCTACTCCGCAGGCTAAGGTGGGAGGATCACTTGAGCCCAGGAGGTCAAGGTTGCAGTGAACCATAATCATGGCACTGTGCTCCAGCCTGGGCATCAGAGTGAGACCCCATCTCAGAACAACCACCACAACAACAACAAAAACCCAAGAAGATCATGTATGAACTCAGAGCAGGAACTCCCTCATCACCAAGGGGATGGCGCTAAGCCATTCATGAGGGATCTGCCCCCGTGATCCAAACACTTCCCCACCTCCAACACTGGGGACTACATTTCAACATGAGATTTGGAGGGCATACACGTTGCCTAATTTGTTTTGCCTTTCCTTGTGTACATGGGGATTCTTTCATTTTTGTGTAATAGAACATCTGTTAGGTCAAAAATAAAACTATATTTTTAGATTTTACTTTATGCCGGATTATTTAAATGATAACTTTTGTTGGTAAGAATTTTTTAAAATGGAATTTTATCTCATTTTATATAGTGATAATCAGATGATTAGCAACTACTTTTATTCTATGGTATTTATACCAGAATTGATTAGTTATTTTTTCATTCTTAGTGCAAGAAAAGAGGAGCAGCTCTCACCTATATTATGTAAGTAAACTTTTGAAAAGTTAAGAAATTGATTGTTTGAATTAAAAGTCTGTCATGATTCCTTAAAAATTTAACAGGGAGCCGGTGCTGTTAGTGTGATCCTTTTCTGATGGACTTTCTAAATCTCTTCTATTTTCCTAAGTATCAGATTTATACAGGAAAGTCTGTAGCTTACTGTGCCCATTTTTAAGGGTGATTGTGATATTATATCACAATTTGGTTGTGATATAAATATCTGCCTTAAATATTTAATCTTTTGTATTCAAATAAAATTAAAAATAGCTGAGTCTACTTTCTCCAACACTTTCTCCTGACTTCCTGTCATAGCAGGTGAAAGCGTAGCTTCCTCACTCCACTGTGACCTTATTTCCCTCCCCGTTTCTTCCACCTGTAACCCATTTTTTATTAAATCACTAATTGATATTTACATGATTATGACTATGCACATATTATTCACTGCTGAGTCATGTAGTGTTCTGACTGTGCCTCCTCCTTGTGCATCCTTCATTGTTTCTCTTAAATATTTCTGAAATCTGAACACTTCTGCACTTCTCCCAGATAATCCCCCTTTTCCTAGCCCATGATAGCTCATAAAGCCAAATACGACCATTAGCCCCCAGCTGGCCTCTTTGTTTTCACCTCCTTCATTATTTTGTGTGTGGAATTAATTTTCTGACTATGTTCCTTTGCCTCTTTTTTAACAGCTATTCTTCCCCAAGTGGTGTAACATTTGTCACATGCCTATCAAAAATAATGTTTTATTTACTAAAACATATGTTCTGTGTTTTTTCTTGAAGGAACTTTCCTTGGCCTTTGGTTATCCTCCTCCAGGATAGACTGTGTTTCCCTAGGCTGCCCTGGGCCTGTTTCCCTGGGAGCCCTCTCTGAACTCTTATGCGCCCACTCATGTTGGATCCCTGAGTCCTAGACTGTGCATTGCCCTCTGCCTTGTGTTACTCCCCAGTGGTGCTGGAGCACAGTTTCTGAGGAAAGGCTCATGGACACACATGTATAGAGATCTAGCCTCTCTCCAAACCCTTCTTTTGTTATAGAGTATAAAATTCTAGAGTGAAAACTAAGTTTCATGGCTCTGAAGACATTTCCCTATTGTGTTTTCATTATACTGTACTTGAAACTATTGCCATTGTGTGATACATCATATGTAACCAATTTTTACATTTTTGAGCTTTTTAAGACCTTCTGTATTCCTGGGATTCGGAAATTGTATAATACAGCTTTGTGGGGACCTTTTATTTTATTGCAGCCATTAAGTCTGCAGACTATCTCTTTTAGAGAATTGTCCTATATTCTCTGTTTTATTATTATTTTAGTATTCTTATGATTCAAATGTTCGGCCTCTTATAGCAGTATTTCTGCATTGATCTTTAATTTCTTCCCCTCCTATTTTCCAATTTGTCTTTTGTTCTGCTTCTTAGAGATTCTTTGACTTTCTGCGCTAACCCTTCTATTGAATTTTTAAAATCTCCTTAAGGGTATTTTAAGATTTTTTTAAAAAGTTTTGCTCCTTAATTTTTACTGGTCCCAGAATTCCTTTTTCCTGTTGTTTTGATCTCTCATTGGAGGCTTCCCTGAGATGTGTGGTAGTCTTTGCCTTTCTCTATTTGGAAGCAGGACCTTTGTTCACTGAGGGGTCTCATTGTGGGGATTTGGAGGTCAAGCCAGCTTTTCTTTTGGGGAAACTCAGTGTATTATATGTGGGTATTTTCTTTGCAATGGTTTAGTTTTCTTCCAAGGAGGATCTCCCAGTTTTCTGCCTGGGCAGTGCAAGCACGGCTGCTGGCTTTCTAGAAGCAGGGTTGGGAAGGAAGGTGCAGTTTCACTTTGTGTGTGCAATTTATTCCCATTTCCCAGGTTTTAGCCCTAGTAGTTCTGAGCCCAGAAACCCTCAGGTATAAAATATCCAGAGAATACACATCCAAATTCCTTCTAAGATGGGAAGAGAGGTGGACTTGGGGCTCTAAGCACAGATTTACAGTTGACCTTGCTGGCTTCAGTTGTATATTTCACCCTACCTTCCCAGGTACCATGTGCCTCTGATTTTGGAGCCTGAGTTGGGTTCTTCAAAACAAAGAAGATCACTTGTTTCTGTTCAAGTCACTCCCTGTCAGCTCCAAAGTTGTGCTTCCATGTCAGTTGCAACTCCTCTATCAGCTTTTCACCTTGCATCATTGACTCAGAATGATCTGCCATCAATCTTGTCTCCTGGTCCTGTGTATAATGTTTATTTTATGAATAATACTAATGAGATTTCAGAAGGAAGAGAAAATAAATTTCTGGTCAATCCATCATATTTAATGATTTAACCCATATATAAGTGTAAATCTAAGTTTAAATTCAACATAATTATGACATTAATTCAGACAATTTCTATTTATACTTACAATAAGCACATAACACTTTTCCACTCAGGCCTTGTGTAAGAATTCTATTCAAACTCCATACATGCCATGTGGTCCCATTGCTGTGCAACATAGATGGAGCTGTTTTTGTTAGTACACAAAATGTTATAAATTTTTAAGTTAGCTAAAAGTCATTAATTATTTTAAAAATATCTGAAAGATGTCTCTTAAAAAAATGGGGAGAAAAAAGTGATCTTGAGAGCTGAGCATGGTGGCTCACACCTGTATCCCAGCACTTTGAGAGGCTGAGGCAGGCAGATCACTTGAGGCCAGGAGTTTGAGACCAGCATGGCCGACATGGTGAAACCCCATCTCTACTAAAAATACAAAAATTAGCCCGGCATGATGGCACATGCCTGTATTTCCAGCTACACAGGAGGCCAAGGCAGGAGAATTGGTTGAACTTGGGAGGCGGCGGTTGCAGTAAGCTGAGTTCAGGCCACTGCACTCCAGGGTGGGAAACACAGCAAGACTTCCTCAAAGCGCGCACACACACACACACACACACACACACACACACACACCCCAATATATGTTCATTATATGAGATTTTAAATAGAACAAAATGGGGACAGGTATCACCTAAAGCTGTACCAGCTAGTCTGCGTTTTGGTGCGTTTTTTTTTCTGTTCTTTTTATTCTCATATATGGATTTTTTCTCAGAATTGACTTTTGTTACCGCGTAGTATTATGCTGTATTACCCCTAATAGTGGTGACCTTAAGGGATACTTTCTTTCACTTTGAATGAAAGTATCTGAGTGAGTCCATTTTTATTTTTCATGCTATTTTTGTTTTTTCAGGCAATAAAAGTATGTACATTGACATACATACACTGTTAATGTAAAGTATATACATTAATAGAATAGCTTAAGAGACATAAGAGTTTAGCTAGAGTTAAAACATTTCTACCTTGAAGGAGAATTTGGTCCTTCAAATAGTAATATTGTTCAAAAACATCTGGGATTTTTGTTAAGAAGTAAGTGAATTTACAGTGAAAAGCATCTGAAACAAGCAAAATGGTGTTAGACTGTATGGATATTTCTGATTATTGGCTACAGGCAATTTTTAAATACTGTGTACTTTTAGAAACAACTGCTAGATCTCCTCCCTACCCTGTCTTTCATGTACTTGTGGGAGACCCTGATGGAAGAGTGTGATAACATGATGCAGACAAGCATATCCCAATAGGAAGAAGGAAGGCTCATGTGAGTTATTTTTTTAAAAGCTAAAATAATTGGTATTTTGTGGTTTTAAATAATGCTGTTGATCTCTTCAACCATTTGGTGACTAGGATTTGGTTACTGCCATTATTTTTAAGAAAGAGCATTTTTTTTTAAGACAGAGTCTTGCTCTGTCACACAGGCTGGAATGCAGTGGCATGATCTCGGCTCACTGCAACCTCTGTTTCCCAGGTTCAAGCAATTCTCTGTCTCAGCTTCCTGAGTAGCTGAGATTACACGCACCCACCACCACACCTGGCTAATTTTTGTATTTTTAGTAGACACGGGGTTTCACCATCTTGGCCAGGCTGGTCTTGAACTCCGGGCCTCATGATCCACCTGCCTCAGCCTCCCAAAGGGCTGGGATTACCGGAGTGAGCCACTGTGCCCGGCCAGGAAGAGCATTTTTTTAAACATAGATGAGGCAGTTTCCATATTGACTGTTGCACCCTCGACAAATGAATAGATACTTTTAAAGTGTTTTATAAATAGTTTATTTTCTAGAGGGCTCAAAAGGTTCACTGTCACCTCTCTGATAGCACTGCAGATAAATTTCACCAATTTGTAACTGTAGGAAGATTTACCTTCCAAATTGTAACTGATTTAAATAACTTGTCAAGCACTTATTGAACTCCTTAATTTCTCCCACATTCTGTGCTCAGCAGCTGCAGGTAGGAGAGGAAGGACCCTCCCTCCCCTGGAGAGGCTTTCTTTTTCACCAGGGGGATGCTTTGCAGGCAATTGCTATCATGTAACACACGGTGAATTAGACTGACGAGTACACAAAACCGGAAATGTTTTGTGGTGTGGCTGCTGGCAGAGGCATCCCGGAAGGCAGAGGAGGTGAAGCTTGCTGGGATAAGGAGGAAAGAAATAGGTATTCTGGGCAGAGAGCAGCATGACTGAGGCAGGACAGTGCCATGATGTGTGTCAAATTACTTACAGAATAAAATCAATCAACTTTTGAAATGAATGCAAAGTATTCTCGGAAGTTCTCATTTGAGTAATGTAATAGCAGTCTTATGTAAACACGAAGTGAAAGTTAAATTCCTGAAGTGGTTTTCCTCATCTGATTTTCAAATGTGAGAGTCTTAAAGTAGTACTTTTTCTATCTTCCCCCAAGGAAACAGGCCCAGAGAAACCCATGGCCCCTCAATTGTTTGGTCACTGAGCAGCCCTGGCACACAGAATCTCTGACTCTAAAATTCTGATTCCATCACACTGTCTCTTGAATGAGTATATTTAGGATTAGTAATTTAGTGAATGTAGTATTAGGTCTTTATTTACTGCAATAAAAATGCTGTTGTGCCAATATTATTTAATGTATGACATTTTGTTGTAGTTAATGAATAATAGAAATAGAAAATCTCAGCTGCTTTTTACTGCATAATAAAAAACCATGAAATCTTACTTTAAACTTTTCCCATTATTTATAAAGGGAATTCATAATAGAGGCTTCCTGGGTTTGACGATTGGTATCATAGCAAGGGCAGCATTTTATAACCCATTCCTCGAACATCATCTGCAGAAGTTAAGCACCTCCAATGAGTTTCCCATAGAGCTGCTCACAATACCACACTCAGGCAGGTCATGGGGTATAAAAAATACCTTAATGCTTTATTATTTGACATTTTGACTAAGGAAAAAAGCCCACACTTTTGTAGGTTCAGCCTACTGTGACATTTTTCTCTATCTTCCTTCTCCTTCAGATACCTCCATGGCATCTTGATAGAAAATACGGCTCATGTTCCACCATATTGCTAGATAACAGCACAGCCAGCCAGCCTGACCTTAGACATACATTAGAAAGGTGAGTAAAACGAGGCTGCCAAGGGCTGAGTGACAGACCCCCATATGCTAAAAGCATCACAGCCATCCTCTGTCATTTCAGCCATTTGGTTGCCCTTTTCAGCAAGCAGTTTAAGAAGTTGATGTCAATGATATATGGATTTCTGGGACCTAAATATGAATTTTCTGTTTCTCTTTTAACCTTAGATGCTGTGTGGTAGAAGGGAAAGCCAGATAGCAAATAAGCAATCCCAGAAAAAGAGTAGCTATTTATTTGATGCATTTATGTTATGACAGTGTTGAACCTAATGGGAAGGAGAGGTGCTTTTTATTGAAAGTTTCTGGGAAAAATTATTAGTTCTTTACAGGCCAAAGACGATGGGTAATACTTTGGAAACTACTCTTGAAAGAAGGAACAGCTTGTCCTCCAGTGGTGCCATAGTATATCTGCATTTACATTTTGCCATCATGCATGAGCACTTCATAGGCCACAATCAGAAATGCCTTTTCAAAACACCCTTGGACGATGGGTTCAAGTTTATTTAAAAAGTCACAACAAAGCCCAGTTCCATTGAGGCATCCAGGGAACATTATTAACATCTCCTTAGATTACGAGCATTGATTTTTGGGAAAACAGTTTGAGAACTACTACCTTAGCATGTTAATGTCCTTATCCCTAACTTAACTTTCCAGTCTATAAACATGACTAGCTTACAAGCTTAATTTTGTTTCTAATGTACTAGCTTTTTAAGCTAATTTGTCAGTAACTTCTACTTTAATTAAAAATGATAAACTTACACTCATAATAATGTCACTTTCCTCTCTCCTGTGTAACAATTATTGAGATCAAATTGTGTTTCATCAGGAACTGGACTCCACCTGTGTCTAAAGCCCTGAGTTTTGGCCTCTATGGAGTCATCACCTAATGTTTGTATTCAGCCCTAAGTAAAAAGGCACTCTGTTTTGGCTAGAGTCCCTGGTTTCTTATGATTTCAAAAGATTCTGATGTTTCAGTATGCAATTCAAAAGTAGTTTTTAAGCTTCACCTTGCTCAAACAAGTAGAGGTTCTGCTTTTTCTTCCAGCATAGTCTAATTCTTACAAGTTGTTTTAAAATAGATTATTTTTTTCTTTTTTAGAGATGGGGTTTTGCTGTGTTGGCCAGGCTGGTCTCAAACTCCTGGTCTCAAGCAATCCACCCAACTCAGCCTCCCAAAGTGCTATGATTACAGGCATGAGCTACCACGCCTGGCCTGGAAGTCTATTTTTGAAATACAGTTAGTTTTAATTTGCTCTCAAATTTTAGAAGGGATCATTTGGTATATTTACTTTTATGAAATAAAGATTTACTGAGCAAATTAATAGAGCAAATTGGCTTTCAGAAAGATTTTCAAAAATGTTTTCCATGGTTAGTAGTCCATTGTACTCAAAGGCATGAGTGAGCCATATTAGAATCACTTATACCTGTTTCTTCAAAATATATCTCTGCAAACACATGCATCTTCCCAGCTCCACATTCCCTCCATCTCTGGCACTCACAAGCCTTTTAGAAAAATGGTTAAGTATGTGAGGCATCATTATATGGATAAAAGCATCCCAGATGATTCTGACCTTAACCCTAACTCAGTCATTCTCAAACTTTGCAGCACATTGGATTCACCTGGGGATCTTTACCAACAACCCTGATGCCCAAATCATACACAATGCCAATTAAATCAGAATGTCTCCAGCTGGTGGTGAGGCTGTTTTTAAAGCTCCTTAGGTGGTCCAGTGTGCAGCAAACGTGGGGGCCACTGCTTCCTTTGCACGGAGGAGTGATGGTTCTAACGTATAAATTACATGTTTCCCTGTCATTTGCTCTTCTTTCTACTCATAGAGCCTTTCATCTGTGCAAGTCATTTCTATGTATGTGTGCATATGCTTAAATTTAAACCATACCACAGTGTTTTGTGAACTCCTGCAGTTCACAAAAGCACTATGTGGGGATCTTGGGCAAGTCAGTTTGAAGCCTTGGTTCTCTTATTTGTAAAATGGGTGGTTCATGGAGTGTCATGTAAGGTTCAGTGGCCTTTTCAGCATGTAACTTCAAATTCTGTGATTTTGAAATCAATTTGGAGATGGAACTGTTTGAGGCACTATAGAAATATCGATCTTAGATGCTAATAATGTTGTAAGGTCTACTTTTTACAACTCAAATTTGCCTTCTCAAATTATTCTGAGCCTCATTTTAAATGCTGAGGGCAAATGGAAGCACAGAACTTATCCAAGAGAAGCCCCTGTTTGCTGACACACACCATCTGAGGATGACTGAGGACCACAGTAACATACATCTGAAGAGTTGTATTTGTTCACTAATATTTTGTTTAAACGAATGTGGAAATACCTGTCATGAATATTGTATGATGCTGTGTTATGCTCTTTAGTGCTGCTTATTTCAGGATAGTTACAAGTGTCATCAATTTTTGTGTGCATTATATTTACTAATAAATTTTCTGTTAATAATTATGCAGAGGTGATTTTAAATTACTTTATTTGGTATAAAGCACAATCATTGTGTGCTTTTAGGGAACTAATGATAAATGGGTGAGTAGGCGATGGAGAACTAAATCAGCTGAAATGCAGGGCCTAGCCACTTAACAAGCAAAACACTACTATATGGCCTAAATGTAAGCTTATGTACACATAGATGTAAGTGACTTGCACAGGATGAAAGGTTCTATGGGTAGAATAGCAAATGACAGGGAAAATATGTAATTATTTATATATAATAACCATCAGCAGAAACATCTTCTAACAGCATATTGCCTAGCATTTTGGTTCTCCTATTTTCACTATAAAGCCAGAGAGCTAAAACAAAAGAAAAGTGCTCATATGGTACTGTTTTGAACAAGAGGATTTCAGGGCCACTGAGAGAATTCCTCCTCCCCCTTTTAAAAACATGTATTCAGGCCTAACCAATGATAAAATCAGTTCTTACAAATATATTTTTTCCCTCCACAGTGTGGCTTTGGCAATATATTACAACATAAAGCACAGGTGAGCTCTTTGAAAACCTGCCTTGTTATTCCAGCTCATCACTTTGTATAATATGAAACATGCTGTTAGGTCATAACTATAGACATAAGCTGTAGAGTGCTTACTTTACAGTATTAAAGTGAATCATTTGTGGGTTTTTTGGTCTGTAAGACTCTTTTAACTCTTAAATTATTGAGGGTCCCAAAGTGTATTTGTTTATGTCTTGTTTGCAATTTATTGTAAAGAAGAAATAAAAAGATGAACTAGCCTCATGCAAATGTGTAGTAGGAAAAATGTGTATTTTTAAAGCTTTCAGGTAATCGTGGGTATTCTTTAACCACACCAAAACTTCACAAGTGCTGACTTATTAAAATAGTTATAATGGGATTGTACATATCAATGAATTCATTCCACTAATACTCACTGATCTTTCTCATACCATAAATGGATCTCTCCACTTACTGTCTTTTATAATATTATGCATTGGCTATTTGGAAAATATTAATTCATGTTCATTGATAGTGTCAAAAACTCACTTTCATTAGTATCACCATGATTATAAAAATGTCTTCAAATATTGAGATGCCGTCAAGCTCACAGTAGTAGGTATGAGTTTTCCAAGTCCTGATTTTAGCTTGAAAGCTTTAGCTTTATTATAGACAACAAATACTTGTTATTTTCCTTGAAATGACAGACTCATTTGACTTCTTTTTGAGAATGACAGTCAGTCAAACTTTCAGATAGAAATGGTGTTCTGTTAAAAATTTGCTTGTTCAGCTCACAATTAAATCACAAGTGCTTTTCTTTAACATACCCATACTTCAGTATGCAGAAGTGGTTTATGTGAACTTCCTACTTTATTGGGGAAACCAGCCCCCAATATTTCAACGTAGGTTCTTTTCTATTTTCTTTAAGTGTCGGCCAGTCTGAGAAATAAAGAAAAAGAGTACAAAGAGAGGAATTTTACAGCTGGGCCTCCAGGGGTGTCATCACATATTGGTAGGACCGTGATGACGACCCTGAGCCGCAAAATCAGCAAGTTTTTATTAGGGATTTTAAAAGGGGAGGGGGTGTATGAACAGGGAGTAGCTCACAAGGATCACATGCTTCAAAAGGCAATAAAAGATCACAAGGTGAAGGCAAAATTAGAATTACTGATGAGGGTCTATGTCCTGCTGTGCATGCATTGTCTTGATAAACATCTTAACAGGAAACAGGGTTCAAGAACAGAGAAATGGTCTGACTAGAATTTACCAGGCTGGAATTTCCCAATCCTAGTAAGCTTGAGGGCGCTGCAGGAGACCAGCACGTATTTCAGTCCTTATCTCAACCGCATCAGACAGACACTCCCAGAGCGGCCATCCATAGACCTCCCCCCAGGAATGCATTTCTTCCCCAGGGTTATTCCTTGCTGGGAAAAGAATTCAGCAATATTTCTCCTACTCGCACATCCATTCATAGGCTTTCTGCAAGAAGAAAAATATGGCTGTATTCTGCCCAACCCCACAGGCAGTCAGACCTTATGGTTATCTTCCCTTGTTCCCTTAAATCGTTGTTATTCTGTTCTTTTTCAAGGTGCACTGATTTCATACTGTTCAAACACACGTTTACAGTCAATTTGTACAATAGTGGTCCTGAGGTGATGTACATTGTCAGCTTATGGAGATAATGGGATTAAGAGATTAAAGTAAAGACAGGCATAAGAAATTATAAGAGTATTACTAGAGAAGTGATAAATGTCCATGAAATCTTTACAATTTATGTTCAGAGATTGCAGAAAAGACAGGCATAAGAAATTATAAAAGTATTAATTTTGGGAACTGATAAATGTCCATGAAATCTTCACAGTTTATGTTCTTCTGCCTTGGCTCCAGCTGGTCCCTCTGTTCGGGGTCCCTGACTTCCTGCACCACTACTTAGAATACTTAAAAGAGAGTTCAGGACTTAATAACACCATTAATTTTTACTGTTTCATCAAGGATATTCTTAAGTGAAGCAGGATATTTTAATAAAAACTGCAAGGGGGAGTGAAGAGTGTAATGAATACTAGTATAATTTGGTACCACAGCCCTTATTCTTACTGAGAAACAAGAAGTTTTACCCACTTTTGCTTTTATGCAATCATTACAAGTGTTGAACAGTGAAAAAGCAAGCAATGTCTTAATACTTTTAGAAAGTAATAAATTATGTTTTATTTTCAATCAGCTTCTCAGGTTGAATTAGTATTCTTATAAGAACATTTTGGGCCATAGGTGGTGGTTGACACCTGTAATTCCTGCACTTTGGGAGGCCAAGGTGGGAGAATTATTTGGGACCAGGAGTTTGAGACTAGCCTGAGTAATGTGGCAAGACCCCATCTATACCAAAAAAGAATTAAAAATTAGCTGGGCATGGTGGTGTGCACATTTCATCCCAGCTCCATGGGAGGCTGAGGCAGGAGGATCGCTTGAGCCCAGGGAGTCAAGCCTGCAGTGAGCCATGTTTGTACCACTGTGCTCCATCCTGGGTGAAAGAGCAAAACCCTGTCTCAAAAAAAAGAACTTTTGACATCATGGGCCTCCTAGGGAATCTCAGGGATCCTCAAACCACATTTGGAGAACCACTGGTTTCCTAAATGAGCATACAATGTGTTAGTTTTTTAAAGTTCATTAAGACTGGCCTCTTTTAAAATAAAAAGGCAATTAAGTTTGTAACTCAAACTACTTAAACAAATATGATAAACATGTAATAAAGGAAGATTTGGTAAATCTGAATCTCATTCACATTTATTACAAGTTATAAGTTTATTGCCAACCACTACTGCTTTATAAAATGCTCTTGCGTTCCAGCATGTGGTTAGAGGAGTGAAAATAGATATAGTTTATTACCATTGCCTGTTAGCGGGGGTCAATATTTAAAGGCAAGTCTGGCTCATCAATGTAGAAAAGACTTCACAGTTCACGACATAGTGTGCTGAAGAAAAACAGGTCAAGAAACCCTCTGAAGGCCAGGATCCAGGAGAAAAATTTGCAAAAACTCTTTTGATGAACAAATTTTACCAAAGCAAACAAGAGGTATCTCTCTCCACCCTCCATGCCCTACTCCCAAGCAGATATTTTACTAAGATATTAACAATTCCCGAATTAATTTCTTGAATGCACGTTCTTATTTTATAGATATGCAAATAGATCTCTGGCTATTTTTGAAGAGCCAGTACATCCACTTCCAGTAAGTGTTGCTTTATTTGAGGTTCTATTTTTGTCTCATAGAGTTATATTTAGTTCATGCTGAAGTCAGACTCACCCACCTTTAAGTCTTCCCTCTGTTGTGTCTAATCATCTTATATAAGGAGTGTTGTAAAGTGGGCACACTGGAGTAAGAGCTGACTTGCAGCTTTGCTTAATTAGTGTGCTAAGGGGAGTAAATATACCATCCAAATAACAAAATGTGTCATTTAAAAAATAATTTTCTATAGCAGCAAACAATATAAATATTTGTAAATAGTCCTAACAAATATGCACAACTTCTGTAAATAGAATTAGAAAACAATTTAAATCAGTTTAAATGCTACAAAAATTTAAAAACTTCCTTCTTCAGATATATGATAGCCACAGGTCCACCTTAGGGCCTATGTTTACAGAAAACCAAAAATATTTTAATATCCTTCTGTTTATATTTTTAAAATAAAAAGACATTTTATCTCATCAAAATTGTTGTAAGGGACACATGGGCACAAATGTGAACACTGCCATCTTAAGAGTTCTTAAAAAGTTTCCTTGAGTGGATATTTATATTGCCTTTTTTCTTCTTTCAGCAAGAGAAGCTTCCAGGGAAATCCTTCAAGCATGATCCCAAACGCAACTGTATTTTCAGACATTTCTGTACTCTTTTTCAAGTCATAAAACTAACAGCTCCATGTGCAATTGTAGCTTTGGTAAGATATTTCTTATTTATAAAGCATCTTTAACAACTGGTCTCCTACACAGCGTATGGCCATGTTTCTAACTAAAAGTAGATTCCTGAAATTATCATCAGATCTTTTAAGAGAAACCTGTGCAAGCCATTAAATACACATATTTGAGTTGAATCATCATTATGGTTTAAAATGATGCCATTGCTTTTCTTATCACAGAATAATTGCTATTAAAGGCAGCAGGAGAGATTTCTGGTTTCTTCCTCAACAGATTCCAATGTAGATCTAAGCTGAGTCCCAGGCCATATTCCCCGGGCACTTCTGATGCATGCTGTGACTGGGAGCTGCTGCTCTGAATGCTTTGTTGTTCCTGCTGACCTCTTGTGCCTGCTCCAGAAATTGCCCAGGAACGTGGTACCAGGAAGACTTGGACACAGGCTTTGCTAGGTAGCCTGCTAAGCCATAGCTGTGTCCTTACATCTACATCATTCTCACAGAATTCCTGTGGTGAGACTCATTCTGAATATGAAGCCCTTTTCAGATGGCTGGGATTGATTTACCCCTCCCCACACTAACCTGTAGAGGAGTGTCAACCATGCAGCCAGGAGAGAAAAGATACTTAGAACAGTAGTACCCTCTCCTTTAGCATCTGGCTAGAGCTTAGAAGAGATGGCTTCTGCTAGGCACCTGCATAGAAATCCCTCCATGGGCATTGGATCAGGTGCAGTCCTCTTCATGGAGCTGCAGGCCATTTGGAATGCTCAGCACATGCTGGCAGGAAGCAGAAGTGGAACTTCCAGCTAGAGAGAGAGAGCTGACACAGGAGGGAAAGCTGGATTGGAAGAAGGGGGAGTTCACTGTAGACAGGCTAAATTTGGTGTGCCTGTAAGATAGCAGAGTGGCCGTGTACAGTCAATATTTGTATCTATGGGACTGGACCATGAATCTGAACTGGAAATAAGGAATAAGGAGTAAGAGTACCTGCTCAAGGCTGGGCACAGTGGCTCACACCTGTAATCCCAGCACTTTGGGAGGCTGAAGCAGGCGGATCACCTAAGATCAGGAGTTTGAGAGCAGCCTGACCAACATGGTGAAACCCTGTCTCTACTAAAAAATACAAAAAATTCGCTGGGTGTCATGGTTGGCGCCTGTAATCCCAGCTATTCGGGAGGCTGAGGCAAGAGAATCACTTGAACCCAGGAGGTGGAGGTTGCAGTAAGCCAAGATCACACCACTGCACTTCAGCCTGGTCAACGAGAGTGAAACTCTGTCTAAAAAAAAAGAGAGTAGCTGCTCAAATGCAGAGAAAGTGTTTAGAATGAAAGTGGAGAAGCCGGGCATGGTGGGGACACACCTATAGTCCCATCTGCTTGGGAGGCTGAGGCAGGAGAATCAGTTGAAATCAGGAGTTTGTGTCCAGCCTGGGCAACATAGCAAGTCCCCATCTCTAAAAAGGAAAAGAAAAGAAGGTGGACAGAAGATAGCTGTGTAAGGACTACCAGCATGTAAGGGACAAGCCCCCAGTAAAGTGGCTAGAGTGGGAGGAGGAAGAGCAGGAGAGGATAATAAAAGAAGAGCAAAGGGGTCAAGATAGGAAAGGCTGTGGTCACAGGGCTAAATGCTGCCAAGAAGTTGTCCGTTCCATAAACACCCCCTGCATGCCGACCCTGTCCCATTCTTCTAAGTGCTGGGGTAGAGAAGAGGACAGGTTGAACACAGTCCTTGTCTTTATGTGCTCATGTTGCAATGAGGAAAGCATTTTTTTAGGTTATGGAAAATAGCAAAACGATAAAGCAGGATAAAGACAGAGTGATGAGAGGGGCTCATTATTTCAAATAGAATGATCAGGAAGAGCATCTCTAGAGAGGTCACATTTGAACAGTGACCTGACTATAAAGCGAGGACGATAAGAAGTGCTGGCATGACAGGAAGTAGGATGAGTGCTGAGACTGAGACAGAAACACATTTCATGTGTGTTCAAGGAACAAACACCAGGGGGCCCACGTGGTGAGAGGAATGAAGGAAAGAATGGAAGAGATGAGGCTGCACAGGCAGTGCGACAGCTCACAGAGCCCTTTGGCTTGCAGGCCATGGGAAGAAGCTCAGGTTTTATTCCAGTTTGATGGGGGCGCTCATGGTAGATCTTGAGGAGGGGAGTGCAGTGTTCTTAATTTAAGAGGTTATGGTGACGGCTTTGGGGAGAGTAGACCACAGTTGGGAGGAAGGTTGGGGCAGAGAAGATTACCAAGAAGCAAATAGGGTGATATAGGTGAGCCGTGACACATGGCGGCTCAGAATCTGAAGCAGGCAGCCTACCAGTGAAGGTAGGCATAGAGGGAGTGCACACAGATTGAAACAGGGTAACTCACATTTAAGTGTTAGTCCCCAGGAGCTAGGCCAATGGCAATTCCCTGGACAAGATTAGGGCCAGCTTGGAGAGTGGAGCCTTGGGGTGAAGGGCTCTGGTTTGTAAGTGTCAAGACTCTGAGGACCTTTGCAAGAGGAGTCTGAGGCGAGTGATGGGGGTGGGTGAGGTGGGTTAAGGAGAGATGGGAGGTGAGGAGCTGGCAACAGGGCCTGATGCTGTGAGCAAATTGAGAGGATGCCTCTGGGAAGCTGTGGGGAGCAGGATGGGAACAGGAAACACGTTCATATTGGGGGAAATCTCTGGCAGAGAGGGAGAAAGGCTTCAAGAAGAGGTGATTTGGGGAACAGTGTTCTGCAAAAGTGGGATGGGATCCACTGTGCTGATAGAAGAGTTGGTGTTAAAAAAGGAGCTTTCTCACTGACCCAGGAGGGCAAGTGGTTTCGGTGAGTGTCAGCAGGTCCAGCTTACCAGTAAAGGTGACAGGAAGTTGAGGGCTTGCCAATGCTGTTTAAGTGCTCTCTAATGAGTGCTGTGGAGTTGAACCCTGGGAGGGAGGGTCATTCCTGGGATACTCAATAGTGCAGAGTTAGGGGGAAAGGGAGCAGAATCTCTCATAAGAACATATCATGTTCAAGAGCCATTTGATTTTGAAAACACAGTTGAGTTTGGAGAACATTGCCATATCTGAGCCGCCAATCTGATAACCTTCAGACAATAAATGAACTCTCTTAAAATGAACTGTTTTCCTTTGATCTTGATACAAAGATGTCAAGTAGCATAGAGACATACTCTTCTGCAGAGCACCCTCTGGGATAGCAACGCCTCACCGCTCACCTCTGTAACCTCCACTCAGCTGGTCCCTCACCAAGTTCTTTATAGGATAGAGATTGGATAGATAGAAAATACTTTCTGAGATTGTCTCACAAACTGCTTGGCATGTTGAGAGGAACCCCAGGGATACAGAGGCCGACAGCTGTCTCTGCCTAAAACCCAACTGAATTGACTGAATGCAGATACTATAGAACAAGAAATGAGTTTTCTTGAAGAGATTGTGGAGACGTGGAACATAGGGGCTGTGAGCAGGACCCTCCTTTCATACTCATGTGTTCCTTATCAAGCACTGAATACGGAGATTATTTCTCAGCCACAGAGACCTGTGCTTGTCATGCTGTCTGCATGGCAGGCATTGGGAAGTGACCTTGATCTGCAGTTCCTCAGCTGGTGTCCCAAGAGCGGGTTAGTTATTGTGAAAAGGAGAAGACAGCAGTGTTCTCAGTATCACTTGAGTGTTACATATTCAAGCATGGTATACCTGTAAAATTCCTATCTACCTGCCAGCCAGGCATGATGCTGCACACAGACAGCACTGGAGTGTTTCCTGAACAACCTTAATCTGCACTGGGCCTGAATTTGTGCTGCCTTTAATGAGTGTGAAGGTGCTGATGGTGCCTCTCTTCATGCCCGCAGAGATGTCCAGTCCTCCCTGTGACCAAAATTGGGCTGGAAATGTCTATAGGCAGAGTAGGCTGCAGAGGTATCTGACTATGACTGTGATTTGGCCTCTTGCTTTGTCTGAGCAAAGTCTCTGCAGAACATAAGAATAAAAGGCACTTACTTTCTGGTCAAAACCGGAAGAAATCTTTCATTTTTAAATGTTCGTATCACCACACTTAAGCTGAACTGAAATCAAAGAGCAGTGCTCTATTTTGCAGGTATACATCAAACGACTTCTAACTAGTGCTAACATCGATCTTTGTCCTACTAATTGGAAGAAGATTGTCCTTGGAACCATGCTTCTTGCCTCCAAGGTTTGGAGAAATCATGGTCTGTGGAGTGTGGATGACAGCCAGAATTCCAAGGACACTGCAGTTGAGAACATGTGAGTTTGTAAGGTTTTGGTGAACTGTGTAACCAATTTCCATACCTCATTTGCTCTCCAAGTTAACCCTGTAAACAATATCTTTATAGGTTTCATCGTGCAGATAAAGGAAATAGGCATAAGACCACAGACTTCTCTCTATCCAGCTTTAGTATAACAGTTTATATTTTTTGGCATTCATGGGTAGGTCTTGATGTGTTATTGTTGTAATAACCTCCTGGATAAACTGAAAAGCATTTTTCTGATTGTTTTTTGGCAAACCTCTTACAAGTGTACTATTAGAATGACACAGTACAATAAATATCTTTATAGCTTTTTAGAAGCTATCTGCCAGTTTCAGTCCCTTTTTAAGGGACAAACATTTGGCCTTTGAAATAATTGGCCACTGTTAAGGTCTTAAGGACTCTGGACTATGGAGAAGTTATAGCTTCAACCTAAGTCACCCTTTGTATAGTTGCCTTTGCTGGTCCTTTCCTCCCCATTTTATCTGAAGATCTGTTTTTATAGGAACCTTGAGATATGAAGTTAAATAGCCACAGATTCCTGTGCCCTGGCCCCTCCCCATTGGGAGTGTTGCATGTGTTTGGAAATTAACCTGATGAGTTAGAAGCTCCAACGTTCGCCTCCTGCAGTGTGAGAAGCATTTCTGGGGCATCTCCCCATGCCCACCACACTCACAAAGCTCCATGGGTACTCAGACATCCGCAGCAGCATGCTGGGGTCTGGAGTTGCCCATGAGAGTGCAAGGAGTCTTGTGGAGTCATGGGGTTCCTCCCAGATGCACCAACATGACACTGAAACGCAGCTTCACCAGGGCTCCCTTCCAATCTGACCTCATGACTGCTGTGAAGGGAAGGGACCTGCAGCTGGCAGGCAGGGAGAGCAGGGAGGCATTTCCAGCAGAGCCTTCCTGGGTGCCTGCTCGACAGTGAGGACAGCTGTGCAGGCTGCATCTGTGCAAGACAAGGGAGCAGCCCTTGTTCACACTGAGCAGCAGCAGCAGATCAAGATCATGCCAGGCATGGGACAAGTTAGTTTTGTGACCTTTGTCCATGACTCCAGATAATACTGTCATTCTGAATCACCTCAGTGTATGTCTGCAATTGAAGATATAGTGTCTGTTGTAGGTATACCTCAGTGTATATCTACATTTAAAAATGAGCCCTTTGCGGCTGAGCTCAGTGGCTCATGCCTGTTATCCCAGCACTTCAGGAGGCTGAGGTGAGTGGATCACTTGAGCTCAGGAGTTGAAGACCTGCTGGGTAACACAGTGAACCCTGTCTGTACAGTTTTTTTAAAAAAATTAGCCGGGCATGGTGGCAGGCAGCTGTAGTAGTCCTAGCTACCTGGGAGTTTGAGGTGGGAGAATTGCCTGAGCCTGGGAAGTTGAGGCTGTAGTGAACTGTGATCACATCACTGCACACCAGCCCTGGGTGATGGAGCCAGACCTTGTCTCAAAAAGAAAAACAAAAATCTACTTTTGCCACCACTTTGCCAATAGTGTAAACCAAGTGATCATGGTGATATTTCTGGTAGCCATTTTAGCAAAGAGTGTGACCGCAAATGAATTTGAAACTAACGGAAATACTTTGGATGTTGCAAACACTAAGGTGGCCTTGATCATAGTCATCCATTTGTAAACTGGTTCCTCAAAGGAAGCAAGATTTGTGACTGCCCAACTTCTCCTTGCCTGCTGCCTAGTCAGCGCTGATTTATTAAGACAGGCAAATTGCAATAGAGAAAGAGTTTAGTTCATGCAGAGGCAGCTGTACGGGAGACCAGAGTTTTACTATTACTCAAATTAGTCTCTCTGAAAACTCTGGGATGGTTTTTTAAAGAATAATTTGGTGGGTAGGGGGTCAGAAAGTGGTGAGTGCTGATTGATCAGATCAGAGATGGAATCACAGAGAGTTGAAGCTGTCCTCCTGCACTGAGATGGCTCCTGGGTGGGGGCCACAAAACCAGATGAGCCAAGTTTATTGCTTGGAGTGGTGCCACCTTTGCCCAGCACAGGGCCTGCAAAATATCTCAAGCACTGATCTTAGGTTTTACAATAGTGATATTATTCCCAGGAGAAATATGGGGAGGTTCAGACTCTTGCAGCCTTCAGCCGCATGACTCCTAAACCATAATTTCTAATCTTGTGGCTAATTTGTTAGTCCTGGAAAGGCAGGCTAGTCCCCAGGCAGGAAGCGGGTTTGTTTTGGGAAAGGGCTGCTACTGTCTTTGTTTCAAAATTAAACTATAAACTAAGTTCATCCTAAAGTTAGTTTGGCCTCTGCCTAGGAATGAACAAGGACACCTTGGAGGTTAGAAGCAAGATGAAGTCAGATCAGCTCTCTTTCACTGTCACGATTTTCTTAGTTACAATTTTTGCAAAGGCGGCTTCAAATTTGTAATCATGAACACTTAGTTCTACCATCATGGCAGCTGAATTGTTCTCAAAACCTGCAGCTCAGCTGGCTGGGGCTCTGAGTTCTAGTCACAAGATCAGAGAGCATGCAGGGATATGTGCAGGTTTCCACAGAAGTGAGCTCCAGGAGCAGTGGGGCAGAGCCTAGCTCCAAGAAGACCGGTTCCAAACAGTGCTGTTGGTGTGTGAATGGTGAAACACCAGGAGCTATGCTCCAAGAAGGCTGCTTCTGTTTATGATCTTGGGAATTTGAAAAGCATTACATCAAAGTGTTTATAGACATTTGTTTCAGCCCCCTGCTGTTGACTCTTTGCAATGGTCCCGTTTTGAGTGTAAATGTAACAGTTAAAAAATTGGTGTTGATCAGATTTTTCTTAAAACTTTCCAATATCCCCACATGGCACATGTATACATATGTAACAAACCTGCACGTTGTGCACATGTACCCTAAAACTTAAAGTATAATAATAATAAAATAAAAAAACTTTCCAATATCTATGTGTCTCCCTAGAATATTTCCTTTCTAAAGAGTAAGTTAAACTAAGTAGCTGCTATTTGGAAAATTTGCTGTGTCTGTAAAGGGTATGCTATTCAATCATCTAGCCATTTAAAAGAAACCACAAAGCCCAGAAGATGCATATTCTATACACAGAATGATTTTCTTCAGGATTAAATTTCTATTAATATGTTAATTCTGTGAAGTACTGTATTTCTACACGGTTACAACGTACTAATGGAGAAAATAAAAAGGGATAGTGAAGTGCCTTTAATTCCTGTCATAAGTCTAGTCCTGATTAGCTATCTATTCATATATTATTTGAATTATATATATAATTTGAATTATATATATAATTGAATTATATATATATTTGAATTATATATAATTAAATTATATATATAATTTAATTATATATAATTGAATTATATATATAATTTTATATATATTATATATAATTCAAATATATAAATATATGAAATAATATTCATATTTATTTGAATTATATATATATAATTCGAATTATATATATATAATTCAAATATATATATTTACATTTCTATGGACTTATGGACATTTGAACAGAAAATTAATTTTGGAAGTAGGTTCAGCTGGGTTTTAAGTTCAGCAAATGAGA
Organism: Homo sapiens; assembly: GCF_000001405.40. NCBI lineage: Eukaryota > Metazoa > Chordata > Mammalia > Primates > Hominidae > Homo > Homo sapiens. Next base: position 34,356,886 of record NC_000016.10, on the reverse strand, counting down.
TCACCTCATTTTGGCTCGTGGTCTAACTGCCCCCCTTACAGGAGAACATCAAGCATTTGTTGACTTAGCCAGTGGGTAAAATATTAAAACTTTCAAACCAAGAAACCAAATATATTGTTTAGATAGTGATCATTTTTAAGCAATTAACTCATTACAGGGGTTACTCTGAAAGCAGCCAGATTTACTCTAACTGTGTACCTATTAATTTAGCCTTGGTGAGGGCGGCTGGATGACCGTGTGGCAGAGGACGGCTCCCAGCCCTTTAGTCTCCCACTGCATTCAACTCCCCCACATCCCGTTCTGGCCAGGGGTGACAGATGCTGAGCGCTTCACGGTTGCATTCCCAACTCAGGAGCAACACCGCATGTGTAAGGCCAGGGCCCTTCTAGAAATCACATCGTAAAATGGGTTTAGTCTAGCCAAAATGTCTCTCCTTGATTTTTCTGCCTTTCAAACTTTAAAGAATATCCTTGTCCTGTCACAGTGGCAGTTTCAACTCTTCATAATACTAAGGTGAGCAGAAACTTGTGTTATGCCCCTTTGACATAGCCTTGTGGGCTGGAGCAGAGGGAAGGGGATTCTTTTTGCCATGGAATGTAGCTTGCTTACGTAATTATTTGGGATGAATCCTTCTTGTAGCCTTAGAGTTTTTCCTCCTCTGAGATAATAGGGTGGCTCTCCATGGGTCCATTTGTTGCTGTGGTGATGCACCCAGTCCTCTTGTTGGTGCTTCTCTACTTCAGTAAGCCCCTTCCTGTTATCGTCCTGGTAAAAATGCCTGGAGGTACTAAAGAGCTAATAAATGACACCCATCATTCCTGTCATGTGATTGCTATTGCGTGTCTTGTGAGTGAGCATGGAGTTTGAGTTGTGCAGCTGCCCTAAGGGAACTCTGAAGAATGAGCCCCGATTCAGCAGCAGGAGTGCAGAAGAGGCTTCCACCTTTCCCTTATCCCAAACTTGGGGTGCTGGGATGCAGAAGAGCCCCAAGCAGCTGTGTCTTATTTGGACATTAGTGTAGGGACCTGATCATGCAGCCTTTATGTGTTTCAAAATAGAATTTAGAGCATCCTAGTAGCTCAGAATGATATTTTTAAAGATAACCCACTTGACTAGAATTGTCCTATGTTGGTTTTATTGTGTTTCTCCTCCCCCAGGAGCAAGATGGAGAAGTGTTTCTTGGAGCTACTTGAGTTTAATATTCATGTGTCTGCCAGTGTTTATGCAAAATATTACTTTGACCTGTGTGCCTTGGCAAATGACCATGACCTGTATTTTCTATTTAGCTTTCTTCACAAAGATAAAGCCCAGAAACTGGAGGTAAGGATGTGAAGTCACTTAGTGGAGTTTTCCATAGGCCACAAAAGCCAAAATCTGTTACAAAATCATATTAAGTAGTGATTTGGAAAATGAAAGCCTTAAAATTAACAGAGCAAAGAGCTTATTTCTTTGGCATCATATTTCTTATCTTTTATGGTCTATAGAAGGATCCATATTCTTAATTAATTAATTAATTAGTTTTTTTTGTTTTTTGAGACGGAGTTTCACTCTTTTTACCCAGGCTGGAGTGCAATCTCGGCCCACCACAACCTCTGCCTCCTGGGTTCAAGCAATTCTTCTGCCTCAGCCTCCCGAGTAGCTGGGATTACAGGCATATGCCACCACGACCAGCTAATTTTGTATTTTTAGTAGAGACTGGGTTTCACCATGTTGGTCAGGCTGGTCTCGAACTCCCGACCTCAGGTGATCTGCCCACCTTGGCCTCCCAAAGTGCTGGGATTACAGGCGTGAGCCACTGCGCCAGGCCAATGATCCATATTCTTAAAAATGTATTGATATTCTCTCTGCTATGACCATAATTCAGAATATTTTTAATTAAATTTAATCTGATTTTAATGGGCTTTGTTTTTAACCTCTATCCGTTCATACAACAATGCTTGAATAAATGCAATTGTATTCTTAATTATACCTATATACACAATGCAGTTACCACTCTTGACTGTCTTTTACTTACACAGTTTGCAAATTTATGTCATTGTCTACCGTATATATCACGGTGCAGTCCCATGAGTTTATTAGACAAAGCAGTAGTGGCTGAGAGACTTGTACTTAGACTGTATAAGGTGCCAGTGTTTCAAGTACTGGCTGTAGGAAGGACATGGGTTTTTAATGAAAATGGTAACTTTCATGGGGTAATGTAAGATTTATGGCTTCTGACCCTTGGTGAGTATACAGGAAAATTACAACTGAAATAGACATATATAAAATTGGCACTTTCTCTGGTATCTTGGTGATACTTTAGAATAATACATTTTTCTACCACAATGTGCATGTAAAGTAGCACCTTATGGTGCTTCAGTCATTAGACTTCTTGGATGTTCCAAATAGCCCAGAACAAACCTGTCTCATTAAAATTTGCTTTGAGTATATAGTAACTAACAAGAATTTGGTAGAATTTGAATCACTGAGTAAATCGATTTTTTGGCACAAGTGCATGTTTATTACATTGAAGGAACAAGTGCACAGGTAACAGATATTGTTGTTAGGAGCTTGTCACAATACTCTTGAAATCTTTGGGAGTCCTATTTTATTTTTTATGTGACTATCATCAAGCGATGAGCCCAATTTTAAAATAACTTAATAAAGTAAGTTCCTCTTGGCTCTGGCAATCTATTCATAGCCCTGGCAATCTATTCATAGCCCTTAAAGGAGATCACCTTAGTGAATGGGCAGGGAGTAGCATCCTCAGAACCTGGCAGTGTAAACCTCAGCCAAAGCAGTTGCAAAGGGACCATCTAAAGGAATCTGCATGTGTGGCTTCTCATCAGTGATGCCTTTTAAAAAATGCTGGAGCCCGGCCGGGCACGGTGGCTCAGGCCTATAATCCCAGAACTTTGGGAGGCCGAGGAGGGAGGATCACGAGGTCAGGAGATCGAGACTATCCTGGCTAACATGGTGAAACCTCATCTCTATTAAAAATACAAAAAATTAGCTGGGCATGGTGGCGGGCGCCTATAGTCACAGCTACTCAGGAGGCTGAGGCAGGAGAATGGTGTGAACCTGGGAGGCGGAGCTTGCAGTGAGCCGAGATCGTGCCACTGCACTCAAGCCTGGGCAACAGAGCAAGACTCCATCTCGAAAAAAAAAAAGTTGGAGCCCTTTTTAAAATTGTACCTGTTTTCTCTTTGACTTACTTTCCTAGGCTATGTCACGGCTGTGTGAATACAAAGACTTGCATCAAGATGCCGCTGCTTTGAAAAGGGTTATCAGCATGAATTTCATTGGTATTGGGTGCTCTAATGCCATCTTATCTTAAAGAGAAAAATTGGCCTTATAAGACCCTGAACTTCTCAACTGTAAAGACTAGAAAATATCACTTCTGCTGAAAGAAACAACAATATTAGGATTTTCTTTTTTTCTTCTTTGTTTTATTTGTTATTTTTTTGTTTGTTTGTTTGTTTAGGATTTTCATCAAGAGGAAGTATCTTCAAGTTAGCCACATTGTGGAACTGGGTGATGGTGGGATGAACAGTGGGTGCCAGGTGCTTCCTGCCCTTCCTCTTTCACTGGGTCCAGATGGCATTCCTAGGGCACCACCTTCTTGAACAACTCTTGGAGAGAAGGAGTGTCACATGGACACAGCACATCCCAGCTCAGAGTCCAGTCACCCAGTCTCAAGCAGGTGCCAGTGGTGTCCACAGTCACCCACAGTCCCTAGCAGGTGACAGTGGTCTGAGCTGAGCTGGAGCTAAAAAAACTTTAGAATTGGCTCCAGATTTGTGAGAGCACCTGGGTTTGGTTCTCTGTCCACTGAGGCACTGAATGCATGATGGCCCAAAACTCAACAATGTTGGGAAGAGAGAGTGGCATTGGGGCAAGACTGTCGTTACTCCAAGCACCAGGGTGGCTCAGGTCTGCTCATCTAGTCTTCGGAGGGAATCTGTGCATGTGAAATGAGGCCCCCACGTCATGGTTATAAAGGAAGAGATGAAATCAGCTCATCTTCTCCCAGGCCGATAATGGTCACTCCACCTAGGGAAGCAGTAAAAGACCTGGCCTTGGGATTGTTAGGGGAGCTACAGAAGTGAAAACTGAATTTACCCAGTTCCGGGAAAACAACAAAGGAGGAGCATCTGGGTTCAAAACCTTATCAGAAGATCATTTTCCCAGCTAATCTTGCCCCGATGCATTGTATGGTCTCAGCGCTTATCAACAAAACAAAAGCCTGTCTATAATTCTAACACTGGGACACACCGCACCTCACATTTTCCAGTGCACTGCAGTGGTTCAAGAGATTGCTGGTGCTGCCTGCATCTGTCTGTTTGCATATGGAGAGGAGCTGAGGTTCTCACGGGAGCGGCTTCTGCATCCTGAGGAAGTTTACTCACGCAGTTCTGGTTGTAATAACTGGTGGCAGCTACTGACATGCAGTCAACAATGGGACTCCTATGGTGCACAGGACTGCCCCCCTTGTCAATCAAGAAATAATTTTCTGGCTTCCAAAATAGAAGGTGCTGAGGAGCAACTGCCTCAGAGTCTACAAGGGAACCACTTTCTGAGACTTTCTTTTCTCTTACAAGAACACCAGATCCCCACCAATGTGAGATGTTAGATCAAGTTTTTGTGCAAGGGTGGATGTAGGGGGCAGAATCCTAAGATGCCCCATGATCTCTGCTGTCTTTTGTTACACCTGAATCCTCATCTTTTCTTGGGTATGGCCAGACCTGTGCCTTGTTCTAGACATTTGAATATGGCAAAGTGAGGGAGTGGCTCTCTGCGAGTTACCTTTCCTTTCCTTTTATCGGGAACTATAGGAATCCCTATTTTCTTTCTTGCGTTTACTTTCACAGTGCAGTGGTTTGGAATATCCCACCGTCAATTTGCGATTTCCTCCTCCAACCATAATCTATGGCCCTTTATATGTAATTGAATGTTTTCATGTATTGATATTTTGTCTGAAGATAAAATATTAGACTAAACATGTTAAAACATTTCATGCAAAACCTTCAGTGGTTGTAAAGTCTACTCTGGTGAATACACAAATTTATCTATTTTATATATTAAAAATTATATTAGTTGTGATAATATTTTCTTTTTTATCTTCACTTGTTAGATATAGTTACTTAAGTTTTTCCAAAATTAATGATATTGTATCTTATATTTGATTTAAAATACTACTAGGATATTTGGATTGATCGTTGAAAATAAATGGCAAAATAAGAATTGCTGAAACCTAGTGATAATGTACTTAGGATGGGTTTATTATCTATTATCTGTATCTTTGTTAAATGTTTACATTTCCATGAAAACCTATACCTAACAACTTAAAATTTTGTGTAAAATCCTTCGTGCCCTGCACTTAGGCTCCACTGCATAATGAATAAAAGGAAAATGGATTCTCCTGCGGGAAGTTCTGCTGGGCTCTCCCTTTCTTTTCCCTGCAACATACGGAGAGCATTTTGAGGTCTCCATGGGGTGAGGTGGCCGTGAGTGCCGGGAGGAGTGCATGTGTGGAGATGTGTTTCGTGCCCACGATTCTCCCTTGGGTCTTTCTGACTGTGGTGGTGGCTTTGAGGATGGTTTCTGAGGATCCTCTCCAGGGGAGCTCTCCGCTTGTGAGATCTCCATCTGGGGAGGGGGGAAGATGTCTGGGGAGGGATTTATGGGGTCGCCCCTGTGTGACAGAGGCGCCCTGTGCGGGGTCTCCGGGAAAGCATATTTTTAGGGGTGGCTGGGGGAAGCCATCGTCTGGGTGGAGGGTGGGGCCTAGTCTCCCCTGTAGGGGGGGCGGGATGTCTGAGGGAGTGCTGGAGGGTCCTCCTGTGAGTCGGGGTCGCTGTGCAGGGTCTCAGTACAGCCCTCGACCTGGGGAACTCATTGTGGAGACCCCGAGGTGGTTGGGGCGGGGAAGGGGGCAGCCTGGGCAGTTGCCGCAGTGTGTCAGTGTCGCTGATGCCAGGAGACAGGTTTGGGAGGAGTCTTTGGAGGGGAATAATTGTGGAGTCCCATGTTCCGGGCGGGGAACACTCGAGGGTGCTCCAAGGCCAGAGGTCAATGCGGGGTGCGCGTGAATAACCTAGGGGGACACTCAGGGGAATGATGGCTCCCCCGAGAGGTAAAGGGTGGAAAGAAGGGGCCTCAGCAGGTTAGGTCTTGCAGGGTCCTTCTGTAGGGCGTCTGGGAGATAGATCCGTGGGGCTCCTAGGGTCGCCCCTACCCGGCGCGGGGTATTTTCCCGTCTTCAGACCTTTCTGGGTCCCGGAGGAAGGAAGTGAAACTGGCATCGCTCTCTGCATCGCCCGGTGGACGCGGCCAGGAGGCCTGGGCTCCCGCCTGCCACACTTGGCGCTTGGCAAACTTAGTTCGGGGGAGTCGCGGGGCTCCTGGGCGGGGAAGCTCCTTGAGCCTTGGAGACAGTGGGGCCACCCCTTAAGGGCAGGCAGCAGGAAGGAACGGAGCTAGTTGCGCACCTCTGCATCCTTTTATTACGGAATTGGAATTGGGTTTACTTGGCCGACCGTGCGGAGCGGAGGGTGGGGTCGGCGCTCCCCCTCCTCCTTCTCTGCTGGGCTCAATTTCCAGCCCAGATCAGAACCCTTGGGGCGCCTGCTGAGGGGAGCGCGGCCTGGTGCGGGGGGCGGCCGCGGGCTCCCGGGGCTGTCAGGGGACATCTGCGCCCTGTGAGCTCCAAGCCCGCCCCACAGCTCCTGAACCAGCCAACACGGGCGCCCGGCGCAGTACGCGGACCCGCAGCCCCAGCTCCCGAGGTGGACAATTTTGCTCCAGAGCGAGCGGCGACAGGTAGGGCTACAAACAGAGGGAATGCGGAGGGCTGGCCAAAAAATGAAAAAAATAAAAGGCAATTTATTGAACGTGGTAGTCATGAAATGTGGAGTTTCGTATTAGATTTGAGTGCTACATTGGGTTTAGAATGAGTGACTACAATGCAGTTTTAGGGCTGGCGATAGACAACTGTAAAACTCCAGGAAACTGCGGATAGGAGAGTCGTTGATAACCTTTCTGTGAGATGGCTCTTTTGAGCTGTGTTTGATAAGAAATATGCCCAAACCTACGAGTACAGCTTTCACATTCCTAACAATCTGAGTCACTCTGAGTCAGAGTGGTCTTCAATAAATTACGATCATTTCCTTTGCTTTTCTGACCTGGTTAAACGAATCACATGGTTCCTGCCCATTAATACACCTGCATCACTAACCAAACCTTTGCGTGTTAGCTTGCTGCCTCCATTTTCTTTATTATGCTTTGAAATGGACAAGAAATAGATTTCATTTTTACAATCTGTGCCCTGGGTTTCTCAAAATCTTAAACAACCTTAGTGTATGTTGACCTGTTAATTTTTTAAAATGCTTTACTGGGGTATATTTTATATAATATAATCACATATTTTAAGTACAACTCCAGGCTATTTGGTATATTTATAGAGCCATGCGAGCTTAATTACCATCTAAGTTTAGAATATTTGTATCCCTTAAGAGGAAAATGCATCCTACTTGCATTCACCTTTGCCATGTCAGATCTAGACAACAATCAATTTTATGTCTCTATAGATGAGCCTATTATCAGAGTTTCTAATAGCCAGGATCATGAATTATGTGGTCTTTTGGGTCTGGTTCCTTTCGCTTAGCCTAATGTTTTTGGGTTTCATTTCTGTTGTAGTTTGCATCATTGCATCATTACATTATTCCTCTTGGATGGCAAGTGGAGTTCTATTGCATGGACATGACCACATGTTATGTGCATTCATATGAGCGTCTTTGTATGATTATAGGAATTTCCTTTGCATACTAACTTTGGGTTAGAATTTCTGTGTCCTATAGTGATTTTATGTGCAACATTTTGAGGGATAGCCACATTTTTATTTCGTATTGTTTTATTTTCAAGGTGGCAGAATATTTTACATTCCTATTTGCAGCATATGTGAGTTCCATATTCTCCACTTCTTTTCTAACATTTGTCATTGTATCTTTGGTATAGCCATTCTAGTGGGTGTCAACTAGTACTAATTGTGGTTTGATTTGTATTTTCTTAACAACTGATGAAATTGAGCAAATTGGCAAATTGTGTATCTTCTATGGAAAACATCTATTCAAATCTTTTGTCCATTTTTAATTGGTCAATTGTTGTTTTATTATTGACCGATAAGAGTTTTTTATATATTCTAGATACTAGCTTCTCTGAGTTTGGTTTTTAAGATTCCATATATAAATGAGATTTTATATAAAATATATATGATATATATATAAAATATATATGTGTGTGTGTTCTTTATAAACCCTAATATACCCAAATAATGTATACAATTTAAAATATTTTTCCCATTAAGCAGCATATGTTTTCATATTCTTTTTGATGTTCTAAAAACAAAAGTTTCCAATTCAATAAAGTATAATTTATTTTTTTAATAAAATTGTGCCTTTGGTGTAATATCTTAGACATATTTATGTAACCCAAGAATACAAATATTAACTATAAGATTTCTCCAAAGAATTTTGTCTTTAACCTCTTACATTTTGATATATTACCCTTTCTGAGTATTTTTGGGGGTCTGTGGTTTGAGTTAGGAGTCCACTTTTTCCTTTTGCAAAGTGTATATTTAATTTTCCCAGCAAAATTTTTTGAAAAGACATTTATTTTCCTTTTACAATTTCTTGGCATCTTTGACACAATCAATTTACCATAAATTAATGTGTTTATTAGTGGCCCTTCTATTCTATTCTGTTGGCCTACATGAATCTATACTTATGCTAGTACCAGACTATAACATTGCAGTAAAAATTGATACTGGATGGGTGAGCAAGGTGGCTAACACTTGTAATCCAAGCATTTTGGGAGGCCAAGGCAGGAGAATTGCTTGAGCCCAGGGGTCTGAGACTATCGTGGGCAACACACCAAGATCCCATCTCTACAAGAAAAAACAAATGTTAGCGGGATGAGTGGCATGCACTTGTAGTCCCAGCTACTCATGAGGCTGAGGTGGGAAGATCACTTGAGCCCAGAAGTTCCAGGTTGCAGTGAGCTGTAATCCTGCCACTGAACTCCAGCCAAGGTGACAGAGCAAGACCCTGTCTCTGAAAAAAAAAAAAAAAAGATATTGGCAGTGTAAGTAACTAAATTTTGTTATTCTTTTCAAAAAATGCATATATTTTATTTCCTTTGCGTATCCACATGCATTTTAGGAAGAGGTTTAAAATTTTTGTTGAAAAAACCTAGAGAATTTGCATTAAATCTATAGATCCAGCTTTTAGTATTTTGATATTAATATTAAGCATTGTTATTCTTGAATATTGATGTCTCTCAACATATTCAGTTCTTTGATTACTTTTAGCATTTTAAAATAATTTTTCACTATGATGTCATTGCTCTTATTTTCTTAAAGTTATTTCTGACTATTTCTTCCTTTAAGAGGCTTTTACCAATGGTATTTTTGTCTTCATTTAATTTTTAGATTGACTAATTTTATACAGTAGTACAATTTAAGTTTGTATGTTGATCTTGTATCTGATTGTATCTAATTAATTTATTAATTCATATAGGTTTTTAGTAAATTTCTTACAAATATTTATACAAAATCATGACATGTGAAATGACCTATTTCTTTTTCAATCTGGGGAGTGGGTAAGAGACGGGTTCTGCCTAGGCCTGGCCCTTCTTCCCATCTGGTCATTGTGTGAGGCCCAGAACCCATGGTGGGAGCTATGGAGAGGCACAGCCTCTGCCTGGGTCCCTGGGCCTGGAGGGGCAGGGCTGTAGGGAGATCCTGGCTCCCACTTAAGCTGGTTAGGATGGATGCCAGAGCTGTCCTGACGGGGCCCTGGGAGCACAGCAGAGGCCCTGGGGGGTGCCCTGGCGAGGTGGGCATGCTCCCTCTCCCCAGCTGAGCTGCCCTTGGCCTCTTGCTGCCAGCTCTGTTCCCCCTGGGAGAGACTTGGTTCCCTCCTGGCAGGGAAGGGGCTGTGAGGATGGGAAGGTGGAGCCACCAGCTTCTCAGTTGGAGCTCAGAGGCCTGGGGTACCAGTGCAGTTGTCCTCTGGGAGACAGTGATGGGGGGTTCCATCCACCTCCCTCTCACCATCACCAGTGACTCTCAGGAAGGAGGTGACTGTCAGGGCACCTGCAGGGGGCAGCAGGAACCAGAGGCCCCAGCTGGCCTCTAGGCCCAGAAGGCAGAGGAGATGCTCAGTGCCTGTGATTGGCAGACTGGGGCAGCCCCTCAGGGCCTGGGCCCAGCTCTACATCAGCTGTTGCCAAAGCAGTTCTGCCCAACCCTCTGGGGTGGAAGCTGAGCAGAGGACCCCCATTCAGGGCGCTTATGCTGTCAGCCAGTCTCCTAGGCCCTCAATCTTCAGGGGTGCAAGTACCCCAAATGCCGGGTTCTCCTGTCACCCAGTGGCCTTGCCAGGAGTGGCCCCTTTCTGGGGGTATAGGGAGATAGGCCCGAGTGCAGATAGCTGTGTTTTCTGGTATCCTGGAGCCACTGGGGCCTCCTGGCCCATAGCCGTCCTTCTGGCCAACCTTCAGCCAGATGCAAGGCAAGGGGAGTGCACCCTTCCTGGGGCAGCCCTGGTAAGTGTGGCCCATTGAAGCCCAAAGCCAGCTCGAGCTCCAGCCTGGGACCCACCAGCTGCATTAGAGCAAGGGTAGCGGCAGAGACTGGAGTGAGGAACACAGATGGCACCAGGGAACTGGCTACTTTGCTAACATGGCAGTCCTGAGACCCCAGGGCCCAGGAGAGGGTGGCACCAGGGAGCAGTGGAGTCCTCATGAACAAGTTGGCTACTCTCTCACTGGGGAGGTCCCCAGGGCTTCACCCAGAGATGATGAGACCTTCAGGGTTCTCCAGAGGAAGGAGGAGGGGCAGGACAGACCCTCATGGGTAAAAGGAGGCCTCTGGGGAACCAGCCACGTTGTTTTGAAATCTGATCAGGGGATAGATGCCCTCTGCAGGTGGTGGGCTCCCAGAGCTGGGGAGGGAGGATGGGGCCTGTGGCCACCTGGCCTTGTCTTCCCTCTCCTTATCCATGCCTCCCATTCTAGACACGCCAAGGAGCACAGGTTTCTCATCTAGGTCCAGGTCTCTGCCTCCCCACTTCTGGGATCTCAGAGCTCAAAACTGCTGCTTCACAGTGGGTGGGGGCCCTTCCTCCTTCTCCCCTCATTCCAGGGGCATACCAGTCAACACAGCCTTTCTCTGGGACCTTGTAGGGTAAGTTCCTCCTCCTATCTGCCCTTCCTCTTGCTGCTTCTTGAAAACCAATCGATCTCTGCCCCTCCTACTCCTGTCTGCTCAGTCATTAGTGTCAGGCAGTTTTTCACTGTGGGGCATGGCTGCTCACTTACCAAGAGCTTGGGGTTACCCTGCCTGGGAGCTGTTGGGTCGCCGGAAGGGAGAGGAAGTCCTTGTGCATCCTTGTGCTTCTTGGCAGTTTCATGGAGGGGTGACAGCAGATGCAGTTATTGAAGACTCTCAGTGGCTAGGGTTTTGGGCAGTGCAGCAGCCGTGGGGGTGTGGCTGTGGAAGGGAATCTGGTTTCCTTCTGACCGGTGTCCTTAGGTCAGACTCTGGACCTTTCTGAGCCTCATACACCCTTATTTGGGGTGAGAAGGAGGGGACCATATCTGAGCTCCCGGAGGTCCTATTTCTATGTCGTGGGATACAGGGGAGGGATAGTAGCTTCTCTCCATGTCCCTGGTATGCCTTTCTGTGCTGGCAAAACCTCTGTCTGAGGCTCCTGCTCCATGCTTCCAGTGGGTCATGTTTGGGCCCACACATTTCTGGGAAATGCACCCTAATCCCACTGCTGAGAGCTGGGTAGGGAAGAAAAGATGGGGCTGGCTGGGATGGGTGGATCTGGGTGCGCTGTTCTATCTGGAAGCTGACCCAGACTCTGCTCAGGGCTGAGACTTTTGAGCTCTCAGCCAAGCCAAGCCAAGCAGGCCTGCCTGGCTGATGGGCACACCCTGGGGTCCCAGGTCCCCATTTGCTCAATGGGCATCCAGGCAGGCCTGTGTTTGCTGGAGGGTTTCTGAGAGGAGGCCTCAGCTCCCAAAGGCAGGGAGGGGCTCTCCTTTGTTCCCCTGGTGCCTAGGTAGGAATGGAAAATTATGCCACCTACTCCCCACTCTCCTCACAGCCTGTAAGTTGGGGGATGGGGTGTAATTCTGCCATCAGTGGTCATTCTGGCATTTGAGAAGAGGGCTTATTTCACCTAGGCCTAGAAAGATGAGTGTGCATGCCTGAAAGAATGGAATATCAGGGGCAGCCTGGACAAAAGCACAGAGGTGGGAGGGCAGGGGCATGGTCTTCAGCCTTCTGTGTTTTGGCCCTTCTAGACCTGAGTGGGAGGCAGGAAGAAACTGAGGCTGGCTTTAGGTTGGTGCCTGAGAGTGCTGGCTTAGGAAGCTTGACTTAGAGAGCAGTGGGCTTATTAGAGGGGTTCCAAGTGGCAGTCTTGAAACAGGAGAAATGCCCATCCCAGGGCTTGGCCACAGAGGTAGGGGACCATGGGCCAGTTGGGAGATTAGGATTAGTGATTCAACAGGGAAGGGGGACCTACACAGAGCAGCGGCCAGTTTGTGGAGGAAGCTAAATTCCATTCCCACAAGACAAGTCTTCAGTGACGCTTAAGGGTCAGCCACATGTGATGCCTGGGAGGCAGCTGTCCCCTCCATCTGTAAAGCCTGATCAGGGCCAGGATTAGGATTTGCCATGGGAACTTCATGGTGGAAGGAGGATATTTGAAGCCATGGAGAGGATGAGGTGAGAAAGAGAAGAGGCTGGGCCCAGGCACATCCCCAGCTCAGGACTGGTGGAAGGGGATGGAGCCAGAGAGGGAGGGACAGGGGGATCATGTTGGTCAGGGAAGAGGAGGAGGGAGTGTGCAGTGGTGGGGGGTGCTGCTGAGAAGTCACACACATCAGGGCTGGAGAAGATCCTTGGGCTGGGCCCTAACAGTGGCATTGGTGACCCTGGGGAGAGTGCTTTGGGCAGTGTGCTCAGGTGGAAGCCATGCCATGGTGGGCTGAGGAGCAGCAGATGGGAAGGGAGGGCTCAGGATGTGGGAGGGAAGAGGCGGTGGACTGCAGGGGTGCTGAGGATGAGGTGGGACTGTGGGTTGGAGGCTCAGGAAGGTATGCAGACACTGTTCTATAAGGCACATGCCCCCCCAGGTGAAGTGAGGCAGACAGCCCTCCCTCACCAGCTAGGCCCATCTGATTCAGCTCCATCCTTGTCACCCCCAGAGCCACAAGGACTCCCCAGAGAACTCAAAGAAGGATGTTGGTGCAGCCAAGTCACCCAGAAAAGGTGGGCTGGATGAGGTCGATTTGGGAGATAATATCCCAGGATAGGAAGTCATTGTTATTCAGAACATGGTTTTGCTGTGAAGATCCTGGCCTCCAGGATAGAGTCCTTCTCTCACAGGTAAGGGGGAGGAAGGGATGCTGGAGACCAGGCCTGAGTCTGCTGGGAAGGATGAGGCTAAAGTACCAAGTCTTACCCATGCTCCTTCTGACCCCATGTCATAGGCAGGAAACGGAGAGTCCTGTGCCTTGCACAGGTGCCAAGACTAGCTCGGTCATGGAGACCCTAACCCAGTGGCACTAGAGGAATTAAAGGCCCACAGAAATACAGAGTGTGGAGTGGGAAATCAGGGGTCCCACAGCCTTCAGAGCTGAGAGCCCTGAACAGAGATTTACCCACATATTTACTGACAGCAAGTCAGTGATAAGCATTGTTTCTATAGATTATATATTAACTAAAAGTATTTCTTATGGGAAATAAAAGGATGGGCCAAAGTAAAGGGATGGGTCTGGCTAGTTATCTGCAGCAGGAGCATGTCCTTAAGGCACAGATAGCTCATGCTATTGTTTGTGGTTTAAGAACGCCTTTAAGGGGTTTTCCGCCCTTGGTGGGCCAGGTGTTCCTTGCCATCATTCCAGTAAACCCACAACCTTCAGCGTGGGTGTCATGGCCATCAAGAGCATGTCACAGTGCTGCAGAGATTTTGCTTAGGGCCAGTTTTGGGGCAGTTTATGGCCAGATCCAGGGGCCTGTTCCCAACATGTCCCCCTTCTTTATTTTGCAAAGAGATAAAAACAAAGGCAGCTTTGTCACAGTGAGCTACTTCTCACAGGAGTCAGGATCTGCATCTGCATACTACACAAAGACAAACAACACAGATTAAAAGCACAATCATCATTGAAATCATAGAGCTTCCAAGTGTTTTTGTCCATTTTAATGGATTACTAGCTGCTAACCCAACTGCAGCTCCTTCAAGTACTGCAGTTCCTGGCATTAAGGTCAGGTGTGCCTGGAATGCTTTAAATATTTGTTCTTTTAATTTTACAATATCCAAAGACAAATTTTTAGAGTGTGCTTCTAGATGCTTTTTATTCTTTCCTAAATTTTGTTCTTATTAAGAGTCATTAATAGTTTCCACAAATCCTTATGTTTAGGTCCTATAACAGGCCATATCATTTGAGGTTGAGGGGCCACTATACCACCATGGTGCCAGATAATAGGAACTCTTGCCATATTTCTTATCGTTTCTACCATCTGACCATTTTATTCAGACCAGCTGAACATAGTATGGCCATGGCATGCAGAGGGGTGCAATTCAATCTAAACAGCCCATTAGGGACAAATCAATAATGATTCCATAGGAATCGTTGCACCAGCACCTTTGCCTGTTCTGCAATGCAATCTTCCTAAACAAGTACATTCATTTTTTCTGCCCAGGTTCAATTCTGTTTACAAATAGGTTTTTGAGGCCAGTATGCCTCAATTGTAGGACCAGATTTATTATGACAAATACTGAGATCAGAAAGCATGCATAACTGTGTCATAGAGTGATTACATCCAGGCATTATTGCCAGCCAAGATTGATAAATATGCCCAATAAGTATAATTGTTCTCTGTGTCAGCCCTTGTTGAAGGAATACTCATGGCAATGGTGATCACCACTATCATAGCTACCGTTAAATTACTCATTGTGACTGGTTGTCCCTCTTTCCTCAGGTTTTCTTCCACCATCTGTGACAGCTTCTTGATCTGTCCCCAGGTGGGTGGCTGTGTTCAATGGGTGCTGCTCATGACAGTTGGGGTCCTCCTCAGTGTCAGTCTCGACATGACTGCAACCAGGGGTTCCTTGGGTTCTTCCTGGAATCTCTTCCTCAGCATCTGACTCATGATAAGGTTTCAGGTTTCTTGATGATATCCAAATCAGCTGTTGACTCAGTCCTGGAAAAACACAAGCATAACCTCTACCCTGTTATTATTTTACCTATTTCCCAACTTTTTGTTATCAGATCTCTCCATCAAACCAGTTGTTTTGCTTCTGTCTTTGCAGCTGGTTTCTATAGATGCTGTTCAGCTGCTAACATTTGGCCTTTAGGCACACTCAAAAAATTTAAAGTTAATAATGCTAGATTCAATTGTGTATGGGCTGTCCCATAATCCCTGTTCCCCCTTTCTGTTTTTGCAACTGCTCTTACAGGGAGAGATTCATTCTTTCTACTATGACTTGTCCTTGAGAATTATATGGGATACCAGTAATGTGTTTAATATCCATATAGAGAAAAATGTACTAGAGCTTGGCTAGTATAGCCTGGGGGAATTGTCTGTTTTAATAGAAGCTGGAATGCCCATCACTGCAAAACACTGCAAAAGGTGATGTTTAACACAGGCGGAAGACTCTCCTGGTTGGCATGTAGCCCAGACAAAGTGAAAAAAGGTGTACACACATACATGTACATAAGCCAGTTTCCCAAATGAAGAAACATGTGTGACATCCATTTGCCAAAGAGAACTAGATTCCAATCCTTGAGGATTAACTCCTCCTGTAAAAGATGAGGAATACACCATTTGGCAATTTGGGCATCATGGATAATAGCTTTAGCTTCTTTCCAGGTAATGCTGTATCTGCATTTGAGACCAGAGGCATTAACATGGGTTAAATTGTGAAAGTGTTTAGCATTAGATATTGCAATAGCAACTAGGCAATCAGCCATTTGTTTCCCTGCAGTCAAAGGTCCTGGAAGAGGTGTATGAGCCCTAATGTGAGTGTTGTAAAAAGGGTACATTTTACTCCTAACTGCTATTTGCAGTTGGGTAAATAAAGTTATCAGTTGTTCATCTGTATGAAATCATAACTGAGCATTTTCAAATAATTGTGTGGAATGAACCATGTATGAAGAATAAAAAATCACATTAATAGGCATATCAAAAGTGGTCAATACCTCAATTACAGCTACAAGCTCTGCTTTTTGAGCTGTAGTATAGGGCATCTGAAAAACTTTACCTTTTGAGCCAGAATAAGAAGCTTTACCATTACTAGACCCATCTGTTAAGACATTCTCAGCACCTTCAATTGGTTTAAATTTAATTATTCTAGAGAGGATCCAGTTAGTTAATTTCAAAAATTGAAACAGTTTTGTTTCAGGAAAATTATCAAGAATACCCACAAAGTTAGCTAAATGAGTTTGCCAAGTAAGACCATTTATAAAAGCTTGCTGTATGTTTGCCTTCATGAGGAGGACAATAATTTTTCTAGGATCATATCCATGTAATTTAACAATCTGAGTTCTCTCATTTCCTATCATAGTAGCGTTTTGATCCAAATAAGGAGTTAGAGTCCATGAATTAGTATGTGGAAGAAAAAGCCATTCTACTAAGTCCTGTTCTTGGACAATAACACCAGTAGGTGAATGCTGAGTTGGAGAAATTAGCAAATCTGGAGTCTTCTCTGGATCTATTCTATTTATTTGGGCTTTATGGACTTGCTTTTTGATCAACTGCAGCTCTGCCTCAGCTTCTTTTGTTAATTGCCAAGGGCTAGTGATACTAGGATCTCCTCTAAGAACAGAAAATAGATTACTCATGGCATAGGTAGGAATGTCTAGAGCAGGTCATATCCAATTAATGTCGCCTAGTAATTTTTGAAAGTTACTTAATGTTTTCAATCGATCCCTACATATAGTTACTTTCTGTGGCACAATGGTAGTGTCATTTACTAAGGTCCCCAAGTAGGAGTAAGGAGGAGTAGTCTGAATTTTGTCAGGAGCTATAATTAAACCAGTGTCAGAAATTGAATTTTGCAAGTGATCATAACACTGGAGTAATATTTCTCGAGTGGGGGCAGCACAAGATATATCATCCATATAATGAATAATGTAACACTGTGAAAATGTTTTATGAGTAGGTTTAATTGCTTGCCCTACATAAGTCTGGCAAATTGTTGGAATGTTTAACATGCCTTGTGGCAACACTTTCCAGTGAAAATGCTTAGCAGGCTGCAGGTTGTTTACTGCAGGAATTGTAAATGCAAACCATTCACAGTCTTGTTCAGCTAAGGGGATAGTAAAGAAACAGTCTTTTAAATCTATGACTTCTAATGGCCAATTTTTCAGAATCATAGCAGGAGAAGGCAATCCTGGCTGTAATGTCCTCATAGGTTGTATAACTAAATTAATATCTCTTAAATCAGTTAACATTCTCCATTTACCTGATTTTTTCTTAATTACAAAAACTGGAGAATTC